>NW_003315921.1:0-124736 GCF_000001405.40 Homo sapiens | reverse complement strand
ACCGCTAGCAAGACTACTAAAGAAGAAAAGAGAGAAGAATCAAATAGACGCAATAAAAAATGATAAAGGGGATATCACCACTGATCCCACAAAATACAAACTACCATGAAAGAATACTATAAACACCTCTACGCAAATAAACTAGAACATCTAGAAGAAATGGATAAATTCCTGAACACATACACCCTCCCAAGACTAAACCAGGAAGAAGTTGAATCTCTGAATAGACCAATAACAGGTTCTGAAATTGAGGCAATAATTAATATCCTACCAACCAAAAAAAATCCAGGACCAGATGGATTCACAGCCAAATTCTACCAGAGGTAGAAAGAGGAGCTGGTACCATTCCTTCTGGAAATATTCCAATCAATAGAAAAAGAGGGAATCCTCCCTAACTCATTTTATAAGGCTAGCATCTTCCTGATACCAAAGCCTGGCAGAGACACAACAAAAAAAGAGAATTTTAGACCAATATTCCTGATGAACATTGATGTGAAAATCCTCAATAAAATACTGACAAACTGAATCCAGCAACACATCAAAAAGCTTACCCATCACGATCAAGTCAGCTTCATCCCTCGGATGCAAGGCTGGTTCAACATACACAAATCAATAAAAATAATCCATTACATAAACAGAACCAACGACAAAAACCACATGATTATCTCAATCGATGCAGAAAAGGCCTTTGACAAAATTCAACAGAGCTTCATGTTAAAAAGTCTCAGTAAACTAGGTATTAACAGAACTTATCTCAAAATAATAAGAGCTATTTATGACAAACCCGCAGCCAATATCATACTGAATGGGCAAAAACTGGAAGCATTCCCTTTGAAAACTGGCACAAGACAGGGATGCCCTCTCTCACTACTCCTATTCAACATAGTGTTGGAAGTTCTGGCCAGGGCAATTGGGCAAGAGAAAGAAATAAAGGGTATTCAATTAGGAAAAAAGGAAGTCAAATTGTCCCTGTTTGCAGATGACATGATTGTGTATTTAGAAAACCACATCATCTCAGCCAAATTCTCCTTAAGCTGATAAGCAACTTCAGCAGTCTCAGGATACAAAATCAATGTGCAAAAATCACAAGCATTCTTATACACCAATAACAGACAAACAGAGAGCCAAATCATGAGTGAACTCCCATTTGCAATTGCTACAAAGAGAATAAAATACCTAGGAATCCAACTTACAAGGGATGTGAAGGACCTCTTCAAGGAGAACTACAAACCACTGGTCAACAAAATAAAAAAGGACACAAACAAATGGAAGAACATTCCATGCTCATGGATAGGAAGAATCAATATCATGAAAATGGCCGTACTGCCAAGGTAATTTATAGATTCAATGCCATCCCCATCAAGCTACCAATGACTTTCTTCACAGAATTGGAAAAAAATTTTTGAGTTCATATAGAACTTTATGAAGTTCCATTAACAAAAAATACCCCTCATAGCCAAGACAATCCTAAGCAAAAAGAACAAAGCTGGAGGCATCACGCTACCTGACTTCAAACTATACTACAAGGCTACAGTAACCAAAACAGCATGGTACTGGTACCAAAAGAGGTACATAGACCAATGGAACAGAACAGAGGCCTCAGAAATAACACCACACATCTATAACCATCTGATTTTTGACAAACCTGACAAAAACGAGAAATGGGGAAAGGAGTCCCTATTTAATAAATGGTGCTGGGAAAACTGGCTAGCCATATGCAGAAAGCTGAAACTGTATACCTTCCTTACACCTTATACAAAAATTAATTCAAGATGGATTAAAAACTTAAATGTTAGACCTAAAACCATAAACACTCTAGAAGAAAAACTAGGCAATACCATTCAGGACATAGGCATGGCCAAAGACTTCATGACTAAAACACCAAAAGCAATGGCAACACAAGCCAAAATTGACAAATGGGATCTAATTAAACGAAAGAGCTTCTGCACAGCAAAAGAAACTACCATCAGAGTGAACAGGCAACCTACAGAATGGGAGAAAATGTTTGCAATCTACTCGTCTGACAAAGGGCTAATATCCAGAATCTACAAAGAACTTTAACAAATTTACATGAAAAAAACAACCCCATCAAAAAGTGGGCAAAGGATATGAACAGACACTTCTCGAAAGAAGACATTTATGCAGCCAACAGGCACATGAAAAAATGCTCCTCATCACTGCTCATCAGAGAAATGCAAATCAAAACCACAATGAGATGCCATCTCATGCCAGTTAGGATGGTGATCAATGAAAAGTCAGGAAATGACAGATGCTAGAGAGGAAGTGGAGAAATAGGAATGCTGTTACACTGTTGGTGGGAGTGTAAATTAGTTCAACCATTGTGGAAGACAGTGTGGCAATTCCTCAAGGACCTAGAACTAGAAATACCATTTGAACCAGCGATCCCATTACTGGGTATTTATCCAAAGGATTATAAATCCTGCTACTATAAAGACACATGCACACGTGTATTTATTGCGGCACTATTCACAATAGCAAAGACTTGGAACCAACCCAAATGTCCATTAATGATAGGCTGCATTAAGAAAATGAGGGACATATACACCATGGAAACCTATGAAGCCATAAAAAAGGATGAGTTCATGTCATTTGCAGGGACACAGATGAAGCTGAGAACCATCATTCTCAGCAAACTATCACAAGGAGAGAAAACCAAACATCACATGTTCTCACTCATAGGTGGGAATTGAACACTGAGAACACTTGAACATAGGGCAGGGAATGTCACACACTGGGGCCTGTCAGGGTGCGGGGGGCTGGGGGAGGGATAGCATTAGGAGAAATACCTAATGTAAATGAGAAGTTGATGGGTGCAGCAAACCAACATGGCACATGTATACCTGTGTAACAAATCTGCACGTTGTGCACATGTACCCTAGAACTTAAAGTATATTAAAAAAAAAAAGAGTTCTTCAACAAATTGGACTATATCCACATTTTAGAGCCCTCTCCTTCTTCCCAGATCCCATGAAATGACAGTATAAACTTTAAAAATAAAACACGTAGCAACTCTGGAAATCTAGGAGGACCCCAACTGCAGGCCAGGACAGCGAGGGTTTCTGGAAAACAGAAAGCAGAGGCAAACAGATCACCGATGAGACAACAGCACTGAGGGACTCATACAGAAGCAAAAGCAGTTCCTCCAAAAGTGAATTTCCTCAGGAGAATTGCAAAAGAATTTTACAACAGAGGCTTAAATCAAAGTGGTAGCTTTCACTTTAGGTTCCATTAGGTTCACAGAAGCATCAAAAAGGCTATGTTCAATATATTCACAACTAGAGATTTCCACTGTGTATTTGATAAAATCAAACAATATTTTAGGAGTTCAAGGGGATCCTAGAAAGGGAGCCTCCTGTAGACACGTCACCAGAGCTGAGTCAGACGCGGCCACTCAAGCATTTATTCCTGGGTAAAAGCAAACATGCAATCTGGTAAACTGAGAATTCTGACAAGGGCGACTCAGATACCTTAGGTGACTAACTGCTGCTTTGGGGTATGGGGATGAGTATAAGAAGTCTTTTTAATAACATTATCACTGAAAATAATAGGCAATATGTATTTAATTAATGATATGCTTTTGTTACTGTCAAACTGATTTAACTTTTTTTTCAAGCCAAATTGTATCCAGCTTTATTAAAGATACTTTCCATAAACAATCATGGTATTTCAGGCAGAACATGGGTAGGCAATCTCTAACAGTATACAACAACTTTCAAACTCCCTTCTTCAATGGACTACCAAAAATCAGAAAGCCACCGTAAAATCCAAAGAAGCCTTCATCTGATGCTCTGAACAGGGAAAGTTTAGAGTGAGGGTTGACATTTCACATTTAGCATGTTGTTTAATAACTTTTCACAAGCCAACCCTGACTTTCAGGAAGTGAAATGAAAATGGCAGAATTTATCTGAAGAGCCACAATCTAGAAACAGAACCACTGATCTTTTGAGGGGTGCCATTTCAGTGGCATCACTGGACAGTCCAGATTGCCTGACACACTGGTAACCAAATACTGGGGGTCAGGTCTCAACAGATGTCTGGGTTTAAGGGAGTTAAGTCTATGCTGAAAGGTGGAAAAGGAGAAGAGGACGTAAAAAAGAATTTGTTTTTCCATACCACAAGGTTTTTGTTCCAAGGTGGCCATGTGTGTCAAAGTCAGGGAATCCCTTCTCCTGGTAGCCAAGAGGAAATCTCTCAAAACTAGAAGAAAAAGGTTTTCCCCATATCAATTCAGCTTTGGAGACAGTTTATTAGTGACATATGCCCCTTCCCCCTAAAACAACAATGAAGTGTTCTGTGTGCTAACAACATAGCTTAAAAAAAAAACAAAATTCTGCATTTTTATAAAACTTGATGAAAATAGTATTTCAAACTGTACAGTCACCAGACGTAGCCAGTTATCAAAAATGCACACACTTCCCCTGGCATCTCCAGCACCTTCAGCTTTCTGTGCCTGGTCTGTTGGCATCTCCATTTTCTGTAGGGTTATTCCCCTCCTTGCCAGCATCAGCTTTCCCCTTTTTCCCTTTTGGTACCTTCTCTCCCCTCTTTGCAGGGACCTTTTTAGTCTTGCGCTCTGGCTTTGGAGGAGGAGGTTTAGCAGACAACCTCGTGGATCTTCTCTGTGGTTCGTCCCTTACCTTGGCTTTATCTCCTTTAGCATCCCCTTCAGCCTTTCTCTTGGGCATGGTGGCGGTGATGGCGGCAGAACGTAGTTGCCCAGCGCGGGCTTTGGTCAGTCCTGGGGTCGTTCTCGCCTCTTCACACTGCTCCTGATTTAACGTTACAACATGTTTTAATAGTTTGTAGAGTTAGTCTCCCCCTCACTTCTCATTTTTAAAACATTCTTAGAGATTTTTGTTCTTTTGTCTTTTTGATATCTTATTTAAAAGTTTACTTATCCCCAAGTTTTAAAAATAATGCATAAAATAAACTCCAACTTGGCTTTTTAAAGGTAGAAAAATAAAAGATAAAATGGCTGCTGGATTCATTTTCTAAAAAGCAGAATATTGTAATATTTTGATTTTTTTCCAGAAAAATCAAAATAGTAGAAAAAATCGTATTTCAGTGAAACATTAACTCTTACATCATTTAAGTTAATTGAATTAGAAGACAAATTAATATGTGAGACATTTATCCTTCTGAAATAAAGTTAAATCCTGAATATGCCTCCTTAATTATTCACATTCTTCCAAAGGTTTAAATCAAGGTGGTAGCTTTCAGTTTAGGTTCCATTAGGTTTACAGAAGCATTGAAAGTGCTATGTTCAGTATATTCACAACTAAAGATTTCCACTGTGTATTTGATAAAATCAAGCAATATTTTAGGAGTTCAAAGGGATCTTATAAGTCCCAGAACCATAAAGGCTTGCCCTGGGTAGTGGATAACCCCAGTTTGTATCAGGTACATTTCTAAATAAATATTTTATTCCCATGTACTTATTTTGAGGGAAATACAATGAAGCAGAATTTTAATGGTGCAAGGTGTGGTGAGAGAGAGTGGGGGCGGGGAGAGAGAGAGAAAATGAAGAGAATGAGATGAGGCTATTTAAAGGTTGCAAAACATATGTACCTCTATCTAGAAAAATATATTATGGAAGCTGCCTTTTTTTGTTCTGGAAAAAAATTTAACGGCTCATTTCAATTATATGAATGAAATGGGGATCATTTTTTTGTGAAGGAAAGGTGTTAAGGTATCATTTCCCTCTTAGGCTTATAAGGCATGGAACTTTAGCTCTGAAGGCAGGTGGTGCCTGGTTTTCTGCCTTAAAAATATTACTCTTGAAGGTTTCTGGTGATGAATAAGTTGCTCAAATTTGCATAAAGGCCAAGGAGACTTTGGGGAGAAATGGGAAGGAGAACCTGAGGCTTTGAGTTTCAATGTCACTACAATGTCTGGTTGCTGAGGTGTCCTAGTTTAAGACCTGTTGGCAGTAAGAACCACAGAAGACACTTAGGGGAACCCTTCTGGAAGAGAAAAAGCTGGAACTGGTGCCTGGCACTCATACCAGAGCCTGGGGTGATGTGGGAAACACTGCATCAGACCACAGCTCATGTGCAATAATCTAAGCATCTTAGGTGAGGGCTGTGCATGCTTCCTGCATTTGTCCATGATTAAACTCCACCACTGTCACTGAAGAGTTGTACCTGAGAAGCCCAGGTCTATCATCTTATGGCACAACCATAAACTGGACAGAGAGGCAGGAGACTGCTTCTTCCTTCCGCAGAGTGGAGGAGCTGCTCTCAGAGCAGCAGTGAGAGTGTGGGAAAGGGCCAATTCAGGTGTTGTTGGACCTGAATTTATAACATATTAGGTTCCTTCTTTAAAAATAAAAGAATACAAAATTCAGAATATAAAGTTGCTAGGGCCCATTCCAGGGACATGAAGGGGCCCTTGCTGTTGAGGGGCCCTGAAGCTTCAACTTAGTTCGTTTCAGATAGGCAGGCCTCTGAGAGGCTTCTCTCTCCATGGTGGAGGCCTGCCCAGGGTGCATAACGGTTAATGCTTTCTAGAGTAGTGCGGTGTGGCAGAGAAGGGGGCCTCGGGTAGATTAATGAGGTGCTTTCATTTTTCTCTCAGTGAAGTTTAGCAAGAAGGACAGATCCCTAGAACTCAGTAGTGAGGAGGGAAAATAGACATTCTTGTCATAAGGAGGATGGGAAGGTGCTCAGTCATAACATTCTGAATGTTAGAAGTTTCCTGTGCTCTAAGCTGGTAAAGCAGGACACACCTATCCATTATATCTTAATGCCTCTGAAGTTAATTATATACTTAATGAATAATGGAAATCAATTGAATTATTGTAACAGCAATCCGTCATTAGTATAAATGTGTTTCCACAATTTTTTTAAAGTGTTACTCTTTCTAATATATTATGGACACTCCTTTTATTTCAGCTGTTGCCTTCATGTGGATGACGTGATTTGCAGCTGAGTGCAGGTCAGCTCCATCGAGTGTGCTCATCTTCTCAAGGCATTATCTCCTTCTCTTTTCTTCCATTTTCTGGTTAATGTAGTCAACACACATCCCACCATCTATCCAAGGCACTGTAAAATAATGAATTCTCTTCCTAGCTTCACCTTATTCCTTTTTACTTTCCTTAGCCGAGGAGTTACTGAGTTCAATTGAATTTATCTCCTAATGTCTTTTCTATTCATTATCTCCTTGTAATTCAATGTCACTTTTGGATTCTAGACTCTTCTCTCATTTCTAGAATATTGCAGTATCTTCCAACTCTTTATTCTGATTTTTCCCTTCCAATAATTTTTCTATAATGCTGCCAGAAGGGGCCCTTCTAAAGCACAAATAGACCATGTCACCAAGTGCACAAAAACCTTCGTTGGTTCCTTATTCCCTAAAACAAGCTCTGATCCATCAAAGCACTATGGAAACACAGCCATTATTGTTGGCAGAGTTTTACTTTTGTTTAATACATTCTGAATGCCTACAGGAAAAATGTCTGAGTTGTAGGTGGAATTCCAAGACCATTTATTTTATTTCTTTCTCTTCTTTCATGTACTCTACATGCAAATACCATTAATTATTTCTTAATTCATTGCTTTCCTTTCTGGTTCTCAGCTCTGTTCTGTTTTTATTCTTTTTCCAGGAGTCTTACCTCTCATTCTAATAGTATTTAGCTTCTAAGTGCTCTTCTCAGGTTTTGTTTTTCATTTTTAAAAAAAGCCTAGTTCTTTATATTAGCCACCCTCTCATTCCATTTCTTTTTGAATGACCTTTCTGTTCCAGAGAGCCATTGGCAATCTGAGTCCCATGAAAATAAGAGGTGGTTTTGGACATGGGGTAGACACTGCTTGTAACTATCTTAAAAAATGAAATAAGCGGTGACCTATTTTCTGAGTTGTAAGTGATTTTTAAATTGCTCATGAAAATAGAAGAGTCTCGGCAGAGAAACCCGATTACTTCGAGTGCATAATGGTGAGAAAGCTTTTGTCTCATGGGATAGTTATCATATGGGATTATAATTCAGCTGTAGTTACTAGTGATCTGTGTAGTGAAATGCAGTTTGAAAACTTCAGTTCATTTTCCAATAGAGAAATGTCAGAATTTAAGCAGGCCCCAAAGGGCTATAAGAAGCTGTGTCTTCTAAAAGAAAATGGGTTGAATGGGCATAACTGGCTTGGTCCTAGTTACCAACAGAATCACTTTCTTGAAGCCTGGTGTGACTTTTCATTTCCCCAATGTACATGCTGTATGTGGAGCTTATAGAATACTCACCAAGATTCAAGTGAACAAGCTAAGGGGGCAGGAAAAAGAAGAGATGTTCTGACCTAATAGATAAATAAATAAATATTTTAAACCTGCCTTGTTTAGATGCTGTCATAATTAATTTTAATGGTCTAATGAATACTTTCTTAATTTTTGTTTTAGGGATATATTGGTTGTATACAAATGAAAAAGTGAAATTACTCAAAATCTTCTTTCCCTCTCTTAATTGCTTTACAGGACATAAAAATTCAGAGAATTGGCAGCATTTTAATTCAACCCACACAATCCAGTTTTAATTTTAATTAAGCCCCAAAATATTTTCGAAAGCCTACTATATGCAAAGTATTATATGCAGTGCTGAAAAGAATGCAAAGCTATTACAAGGCTCTTGTGAGGAAAAAAGAAAAAATGAGAAAATGTATGTAGGCATTGTTTGTAAACTATATAATATTTAAATTTCAGTTGTAATAATTATTATCATTATTATTAAACAGACATCCTGTCTCCTGGAACTCACAATCTTTTGGGGGATATAGATATCCAAGTGATTAGTACTGGGAAGGCTGAAATGAGCATACACCAAATTTTATGAGAATCAGAAACGAGAACAAAGTTAATTCTATTTGGAAAAATCTGGAAGGTCTTCTTAGATGAGAGAGTGTATAGATTACCGTCGAACCTGGAACAACGCAGGGTTACGAGTGCCAGCCCCCTGTGCAGTCAAAAATTCACGTACAACTTTTGAATTCCCAAAAACTTCTAATAGCCTACTGTTGACTACAAGCCTTACCATTAACATAAATAGTTGATTGAGACATATTTTTGTGCTATATGTATTATATACTATATTCTTACAATAAAATAAGCTAGAGAAAAGAGAATGTTATTAAGAGAATCAAAAGGAAAACAAAAATATGTTTACATTTATTTAGTGGATATGGATCATCATAAAGGCCTTCATCCTTGTCATCATGTTGACTAGGCTGAAAAGGAGGAAGAGAAGGAGAGGTTGATCGCACTGTCTCAGTAGTGGTAGAGGTGGAAGACATGAAGGAGGTGAAAGAGGAGGCAGGAGAAGCAGGTCACACTCAGTGTAACTACAGAAATCCTTTGTAATTTCTGTCTAAATTTTTTGTTTTCTAATTTCTCTAAAAATGTCTCTATCTGGTACCAATCCTTCTTCAACCATTTATTTCAGTCTCAGTGCCTCTATCATAGAAGGGTCTAGGCTGTAAAGGAAGTCAAAAGCAGTCTTGAATAATCAGAACAGTTCTGCCAGATTGTCTAATGTCAATTTATTTCCTGGCATTGCTCCTTCTATATCTTCTTCCTCATAATCTGTCACAGGTTTGGAAACACTCATCTCCATCAAATCATCTTTTAATTCTAGTCTGATATCTATTAGCTTTCGATTTTCTCCAAGATCTGTATCTAGAAACCCTTTCCCCCAATCTTTTTTTGTCATATCCACAATCACTTTCATGATTTCCTTGATTGGCTCTGTGATAAATCCTGTGAAGTCATGTACAACATCTGGACGCAGTTTTCTTCACCAGGAATTTATTGTTTCAGGCTTGATGGTTTTCATGTTTTTTTCTATAATAACAATGGCATCCTCAATGGTGTAATCTTTCCAAACTTTCATGATGTTCTCCATGTCAGGGTTCTCTTCCACAGTGTTGATAATCCTTTCCCCATAGAGTACTGTGTGTAATGAGCCTTAAAGGTCCTTATGACCCCCTGGATTTAGAGATGTTGTGTTTGGGGGGTGAGTAGACCCCTTTGATGCCTTTGGCCTTGAACTCATGGGGTTCTGGGTTACCAGGGGCATTGTTCAATTTGTCCACTATCAAAAGAACGTTAAAAGGCTGTCTCCTACTGGCAAGGTGCTTCTTTACTTCAGGAAAAAACACCAGTGGAACCAGTCCAGAAAAAGATTCTCAGTGTGCAGGCTTTATTGTTGTACAAACAAAAGACTAGCAGCTGATGTTTATCTTTTCCCTTCAAATCTTGGGGGTTAGCAGCTTTATAGGTAAAGGCAGTCCTTATCATAAACCTGACTGCATTTGTATAAAACAGTAGAGTTAGCCTATCAATTCCTGCCTTCAATCCTGGCACTCACTTCTCTTCCTTACTAATTAATGTCATTCATGGCATTTTTTCAAAATAGGGCACTTTGGTCTGCATTAAAAATGGGTTCAAGCAAATACCTTTTCTCTTTAATGATTTTCTTAATGGTGTCTGGGGACTCATTTGCAGCCTCTTGTTCAGCAGAAGTTGCTTCTCCTGTTATCTTCACATTTTTAAAGCCAAACCTCTTTTTTAAATTATCAAACCATCCCTTGCTGACATTAAAGTCTCTAGATTTAGATCCTTCACTTTATTTTCCCTTTTTCTCATATAATGACCTCATTTTGTCTTGAATCATATTTGAGCCAATAGGTATGCCTTTCTTATAACAATGCTGCACCCACATAAAAGCTGCATTTTCAATATGAGATAAAAAATGCTTCACAAAAAGTGCAAAGTTTTTATCCTGTTGGCATAGCTGCAGTGACAGTTTCACAAGTTTTTTTTCTTCTTTTTTTTCTTACAGTGGTTCTTCTGCTAGATTTATCATGAATTGACTGGCAACCACAAAGGCAGACCTTAATCTATGGTATCTATATCAAGCAATTCAACTTTCTCTTTTTCTTTTTTTTATTATACTTTAAGTTCTAGGGTACATGTGCACAATGTGCAGGTTTGTTACATATGTATACATGTGCCAGGTTGTTGTGCTGCCCCCATTAATTCGTCATTTACATTAGGTATATTTCCTAATGCTATCCCTCCCCGCTCCTCCCAACCCACAACAGGCCCCTGTGTGTGATGTTCCCTTTCCTGTGTCCAAGTGTTCTCACTGTTCAATTCCCACCTATGAGTGAGAACATGCGGTGTTTGGTTTTTTCTCCTTGTGATAGTTTGCTGAGAATGATGGTTCCCAGCTTCATCCATGTCCCTACAAAGGACATGAACTCAACCTTTTTTATGGCTGCATAGTATTCCATGGTGTATATGTGCCACATTTACTTAATCTACTCTATCACTGATGGACACTTGGGTTGGTTCCTAGTCTTTACTATTGTGAATAGTGCTGCAATAAACATACATGTGCATGTGTCTTTATAGCAGCATGACTTATAATCCTTTGGGTGTATACCCAGTAATGGGATGGCTGGGTCAAATGGTATTTCTAGTTCTAGATCCCTGAGGAATCGCCACACTGTCTTCCACAATGGTTGAACTAGTTTACAGTCCCACCAACAGTGTAAAAGTGTCCCTATTTCTCCACATCCTCTCCAGCACCTGTTGTTTCCTGACTTTTTAATGATCGCCATTCTAACTGGTGTGAGATGGTATCTCATTGTGGTTTTGATTTGCATTTCTCTGATGGCCAGTGATGATGAGCATTTTTTCATGTGTCTGTTGGCTGCATAAATGTCTTCTTTTGAGAAGTGTCTGTTCGTATCCTTCACCCCCTTGTAGATGGGGTTGTTTGTTTTTTTCTTGTAAATTTGTTTGAGTTCTTTGTAGATTCTGGATATGAGCCCTTTGTCAGATGAGTAGACTGCAAAATTTTCTCCCATTTTGTAGGTTGCCTGTTCACTCTGATGGTAGTTTCTTTCACTGTGCAGAAGCTCTTTCATTTAATTAGATCCCATTTGTCAATTTTGGCTTTTGTTGCCATTGCTTTTGGTGTTTTAAACATGAAGTTCTTGCCCATGCCTATGTCCTGAATGGCACTGCCTAGGTTTTCTTCTAGGGTTTTTATGGTTTTAGGTCTAACATTTAAGTCTTTAATCCATCTTGAATTAATTTTTGTACAAGGTGTAAGGAAGGGATCCAGTTTCAGCTTACCACATATGGCTAGCCAGTTTTCCCAGCACCATTTGTTAAATAGGGAATCCTTTCCCCATTTCTTGTTTTTGTCAGGTTTGTCAAAGATCAGATGGTTGTAGATGTGTGGTATTATTTCTGAGGGCTCTGTTCTGTACCATTGGTCTATATCTCTGTTTTGGTACCAGTACCATGCTCTTTTGGTTACTGTATCTTTGTAGTATAGTTTGAAGTCAGGTAGCGTGATGCCTCCAGCTTTGTTCTTTTGGCTTAAGATTGACTTGGCAATGTGGGCTCTTTTTTGGTTCCATATGAACTTTAAAGTAGTTTTTTCCAATTCTGTGAAGAAAGTCATTGGTAGCTTGATGGGAATGGCATTGAATCTATGAATTACCTTGGGCACTATGGCCATTTTCAACATATTGATTCTTCCTATCTCTGAGCATGGAATGTTCTTCCATTTGTTTGTACTCTCTTTTATTTCATTGAGCAGTAGTTTGTAGCTCTCCTTGAAGAGGTCCTTGGCAAATTGAATCCAGCAGCCAACAAAAAGCTTATCCACCATGATCAAGTCAGCTTCATCTCTGGGATGCAAGGCTGGTTCAACATACACAAATCAATAAACGTAATCTAGCATACAAACAGAACCAAAGACAAAAACCACATGATTATCTCAATAGTTCCAGAAAAGGCCTTTGACAAAATTCAACAGCCCTTCATGCTAAAAACTCTCAATAAATATGGTATTGATGGGACATATCTCAAAATAATAAGAGCTATTTATGACAAACCCACAGCCAATATCATACTGAATGGGCAAAAACTGGAAGCATTCCCTTTGAAAACTGGCACAAGACAGGGATGACCTCTCTCGCCACTCCTATTTGATATAGTGTTGGAAGTTCTGGCCAGGGCAATCAGGAAGGAGAAAGAAATTAAAGGGTATTCAATTAGGAAAAGAGGAAGTCAAATTGTCCCTGTTTGCTGATGACATGATTGTATATCTAGAAAACCCCATTGTCTCAGCCCAAAATCTCCTTAAGCTGATAAGCAACTTCAGCAGTCTCAGGATACAAAATCAATGTGCAAAAATCACAAGCATTCTTAGACACCAAAAACAGAGAGAGAGCCAAATCATGAGTGAAATCCCATTCACAATTGCTTCAAAGAGAATAAAATACCTAGGAATCCAAATTACAAGGGATGTGAAGGACCTCTTCAAGGAGAGCATGTGTCTTTATATCAACATGATTTATAATCCTTTGGGTATATAGCCGGTAATGGGATGGCTGGGTCAAATGTTATTTCTGGTTCTAGATCCTTGAGGAATTGCCACACTGTCTTCCACAATGGTTGAACTAGCTTACAGTCCCATCAACACTGTAAAAGTGTTCCTATTTCTCCACATCCTTTCCAGCACCTGTTGTTTCTTGACTTTTTAATGATTGCCATTCTAACCAGTGTGAGATGGTATCTCATTGTGGTTGTGATTTGCATTTCTCTGATGGCCAGTGATGATGAGCATTTTTTCATGTGTCTGTTGGCTGCATAAATTCTTCTTTTGAGAAGTGTCTGCTCATATCCTTCACCCACTTGTTGATGGGGTTGTTTGTTTTTTTCTTGTAAATTTGTTTGAGTTCTTTGTAGATTCTGGATATGAGCCCTTTGTCAGATGAGTAGACTGCAAAATTTTCTCCCATTCTGTAGGTTGCCTGTTTACTCTGATGGTAGTTTCTTTTGTTCTGCAGAAGCTCTTTAGTTTAATTAGATCCCATTTGTCATTTTTGGCTTTTGTTGCCATTGCTTTTGGTGTTTTAGACATGAAGTGTTTGGCCATGCCTATGTCCTGAATGGTATTGCCTAGGTTTTCTTCTAGGGCTTTTATGGTTTTAGGTCTAATATTTAAGTCTTTAATCCATCTTGAATTAATTTTTGTTTAAGGTGTAAGGAAGGGATCCAGTTTCAGCATTCTACATATGGCTAGCCAGTTTTCCCAGCACCACCATTTATTAAATAGGGACTCCTTTCCCCATTTCTTGTTTTTGTCAGGTTTGTCAAAGATCAGATGGTTGTAGATGTGTGGTATTATTTCTGAGGGTTCTGTTCTGTTCCACTGATGTATATCTCTGTTCTGGTACCAGTACCATGCTGTTTTGGTTACTGTGGCCTTGTAGTATAGTTTGAAGTCAGGTAGCGTGATGCCTCCAGTTTTGTTCTTTTGGCTTAGGATTGTCTTGGCAATGCAGGCTCTTTTTTGGTTCCACATGAACTTTAAAGTAGTTTTTTCCAATTCTATGAAGAAAGTCACTGGTAGCTTGATGAGGGTGGCATTGAATCTATAAATTGCCTTGGGCAGTATGGCCATTTTCATGATATTGATTCTTCCTATCTCTGAGCATGGAATGTTCTTCCATTTGTTTGTGTCCTCTTTTATTTCGTTGAGCAGTTGTAGTTCTCCTTGAAGAGGTCCTTCACATCCCTTGTAAGTTGGATTCCTAGGTATTTTTTTCTCTTCGAAGCAATTGTGAATGGGAGTTCACTCATGATTTGGCTCTCTGTTTGTCTGTTATTGGCGTATAAGAATGCTTGTGATTTTTGCACATTGATTTTGTATCCTGAGACTGCTGAAGTTGCTTATCAGCTTAAGGAGATGTTGGGCTGAGATGATGGGGTTTTCTAGATATACAATCATGTCATCTGCAAACAGGGACAATTTGACTTCCTCTTTTCCTAATTGAATACCCTTTATTTCTTTCTCCTTCCTGATTGCCCTGGCCAGAACTTCCAACACTATGTCAAATAAGAGTGATGAAAGAGGGCATCCCTGCCTTGTGCCAGTTTTCAAAGGGAATGCTTCCAGTTTTTGCCCATTCAGTCTGATATTGGCTGTGGGTTTGTCATTAATAGCTCTTATTATTTTGAGATACGTCCCATCAATACCATATTTATTGAGAGTTTTTAGCATGAAGGTTGTTGAATTTTGTCAAAGGCCTTTACTGCATCTTTTGAGATAATCATGTGGTTTTTGTCTTTGGTTCTGTTTATATGCTGGATTACGTTTATTGATTTGTGTATGTTGAACCAGCCATGCATCCCAGGGATGAAGCCCACTTGATCATGGTGGATAAGCTTTTTGATGTGCTGCTGGATTCAGTTTGCCAGTATTTTATAGAGGATTTTTGCATCAATGTTCATCAGGGATATTTTTCTACTGGTCTAAAATTCTCTTTTTTTGTTGTGTCTCTGCCAGGCTTTGGTGTAAAGATGATGCTGGCCTCATGAAATGAGTTTGGGAGGATTATCTCTTTTTCTATTGATTGGAATAGTTTCAGAAGGAATGGTACGAGCCCCTCCTTCTACCTTTGGTAGAATTCAGCTGTGAATCCATCTGGTCCTGGACTTTTTTTGGTTGGTAGGATATTAATTATTGCCTCAATTTCAGAGCCTGTAATTGGTCTATTCAGGGTTTCAACTTCTTCTTGATTTAGTCTTCAGAGGGTGTATGTGTCGAGGAATTTATCCATCTCTTCTAGATTTTCTAGTTTATTTGCATAGAGGTGTTTATAGTATTCTCTGATGGTAGTTTCTGTTTTTGTGGGATCGGTGGTGATATCCCCTTTATCATTTTTTATTGCATCTATTTGATTCTTCTCTCTTTTCTTCTTTATTAATCTTGCTAGTGGTCTATCAATTTTGTTGATCTTCTCAAACAACCAGCTGTTGGGTTCATTGATTTTTTGAAGGGGTTTTTGTGCCTCTGTCTCCTTCAGTTCTGCTCTGATCTTAGTTATTTCTTGCCTTCTGCTAGCTTTTGAATGTGTTTGCTCTTGCTTCTCTAGATCTTTCAATTGTGATGTTAGCGTGCCAATTTTAGATGTTTCCTGCTTTCTCTTGTGGGCATTTAGTGCTATAAATTTCCCTCTACACACTGCTTTAAGTGTGTCTCAGAGATTCTGGTATGATGTGTCTTTTTTCTATTGGTTTCAAAGAACATCTTTATTTCTGCCTTCATTTCGTTATGTACCCAGTAGTCATTCAGGAGCAGGTTGTTCAGTTTCCATGTAGTTGAGCAGTTTTGAGTGAGTTTCTTAATCCTGAGTTCTAGTTTGATTGCACTGTGGTCTGAGAGAGAGTTTGTTATAATTTCTGTTCTTTTACATTTGCTGAGGAGTGCTTTACTTCCAACTATGTGGTCAGTTTTGGAATAAGTGTGATATGGTGCTGAGAAAAATGCATCTTCTGTTGATTTGGGGTGGAGAGTTCTGTAGATCTCTATTAGGTCCACTTGGTGCAGAGCTGAGTTCAATTCCTGGATATCCTTGATAACTTTCTGTCTCATTGATCTGTCTAATGTTGACAGTGGGGTGTAAAAGTCTCCCATTATTATTGTGTGGGAGTCTAAGTCTCTTTGTAGGTCTGTAAGGACTTGCTTTATGAACCTGGGTGCTCTTATATTGAGTGCATATATATTTAGGATAGTTAGCTCTTCTTTTTGAATTAATCCCTTTACCATCATATAATGGCCTTCTTTGTCTCTTTTGATCTTTGTTGGTTTAAAGTCTGTTTTATCAGAGACTAGGATTGCAACCCCTACCTTTTTTTCTTTTGCATTTGCTTGGTAGATCTTCCTCCATCCCTTTATTTTGAGTCTATGTGTGTCTCTGTACATGAGATGAGTCTCCTGAATACAGCACACTGATGGGTCTTGAGTCTTTATCCAATTTGCCAGCCTGTCTTTTAATTGGAGAATTTAGCCCATTTACATTTAAGGTTAATATTGTTATGTGTGAATTTGATCCTGTCATTATGATGTTAGCTGGTTATTTTGCTCATTAGTTGATGCATTTTCTTCCTAGCCTCGACGTTCTTTACAATTTGGCATGGTTTTGCAGTGGCTGGTACTGGTTGTTCCTTTCCATGTTTAGTGCTTCCCTCAGGAGGTCTTTTAGGGCAGGTCTCATAGTGACAAAATCTCTCAGCATTTTCTTGTCTGTAAAGGATTTTATTTCTCCTTCACTTATGAAGCTTAGTTTGGCTGGGTATGAAATTCTAGGTTGAAAATTCTTTTCTTGAAGAATGTTGAATATTGGCCCCCACTCTCTTCTGGCTTGTAGAGTTTCTGCCAAGAGATCAGCTGTTAGTCTGATGGGCTTCCCTTTGTGGGTAACCAGACCTTTCTCTGTGGCTGCCCTTAACATTTTTTCCTTCATTTCAACTTTGGTGAATGTGACTATTATGTGTCTTGGAGTTGCTCTTCTCGAGGAGTATCTTTGTGGTGTTCTCTGTATTTCCTGAATTTGAATGTTGGCCTGCCTTCCTAGGTTGTGGAACTTCTCCTGGATAATATCCTGCAGAGTGTTTTCCAACTTGGTTCCATTCTCCCCATCACTTTCAGGTACACCAATCAGACGTAGATTTGGTCTTTTCACATAGTCCCATATTTCTTGGAGGCTTTGTTCATTTCTTTTTACTCTTTTTTCTCTAAACTTCTCTTCTGACTTCATTTCATTCATTGGATCTTCAATCACTGATACCCTTTCTTCCAGTTGATCGAACTGGCTACTGAAGCTTGTGCATTCGTCCCCTAGTTCTCATGCCATGGCTTTCAGCTCCATTGGGTCATTTAAGGGCTTCTCTACACCGGTTACTCTACTTTGCCATTCATCTAATCTTTTTTCAAGGTTTTTAGCTTCTTTGTGATAGGTTTGAACTTCCTCCTCTAGCTCAGAGAAGTTTGATCATCTGAAGCATTCTTCTCTCAACTTGTCAAAGTCATTCTCCATCCAGCTTTGTTCCATTGCTGGTGAGGAGCTACATGACTTTGGAGTGGGAGAGGTGCTCTGATTTTTAGAATTTTCAGCTTTTCTGCTCTGTTTTTTCCCCATCTTTGTGGTTTTGTCTGTCTTTGGTCTTTGATGATGGTGATGTACAGATGAGGTTTTGGTGTGGATGTCCTTTCTGTTTGTTAGTTTTCCTTCTAACAGTCAGGACCCTCATCTGCAGGTCTGTTGGAGTTTGCTAGAGGTCCACTCCAGACCCTGTTTGCCTGGGTATCAGCTGCAGAGGCTGCAGAACAGCGAATATTGCTGAACAGCAAATGTTGCTGCCTGATTGTTCCTCTGGTAGCTTCATCTCAGAGGGGTACCCAGCCATGTGAGATGTCAGTCTGCCCCTACTGGGGGGTGCCTCCCAGTTAGGCTACTCAGGGCTCAGGGACCCACTTGAGGAGGCAGTCTGTCTGTTCTCAGATCTCAGACTCCGTGCTGGGAGAACCACTACTCTCTTCAAAGCTGTCAGGGACATTTAGGTCTGCAGAGGTTTCTGCTGCCTTTGTTCAGCTATGCTCTGCCTCCAGAGGTGGAGTCTACAGACGCAGGCAGGCCTCCTGAGCTGCGGTGGGCTCCACTCAGTTCGACCTTCCTGGCTGCTTTGTTTACCTACTCAAGCCTCAGCAATGACAGGCACCCTTCCCCCAGCCTTGCTGCTGCCTTGCAGTTTGATCTCAGACTGCTGTGCTAGCAATCAGCAAGCCTCCGTGGGCATGGGACCCTCTAAGTCAGGCACAGGATATAATCTCCTGGTGTGCCATTTGCTAAGACCTTTGGAAAAGTGCAGTATTAGGGTGGGAGTGACCCGATTTCCCAGGTGCTGTCTGTCACAGCTCCCCTTGGCTAGGAAAGGGAATTCCCTGACCCCTTGCACTTCCTGGGTGAGGGGATGCACCCTGCTTCAGCTCACGCTCAGTGGGCTGCAATCACTGTCCTGCACCCACTGTCCAACAAGCCCCAGTGAGATGAACCTGGTACCTCAGTTGGAAATGCAGAAATCATCCTTACACTGGGAGCTGTAGACTGGAGCTGCTCCTATTCGGCCATCTTGGAACTGCCCCCTTAACTTTTTCTGATAATGCCACTTTTTCTCTGCTTCTTGGGAGCACTTCCACCACCACTAGTGGCACTTCATGTTAGTCCCATGGTATTATTCAAGGTTTACGGTATTGCACTAACCACAGTTAAAAAATATGCGAAAGCTGTGAGGGATCACTTTTTATTAGGATATGTAGTTTACTGGAAAGATGAACTGCTCATGTGGAAATGATTAGCATCACATGGTGTCTTAAGCAGATACAACCCTTGAGCTCACCACAGTGGCAAGAGGAGATGGCTATGAAGTTATGACAGTAGTACAGTATATACTAAAGTTAATTTATGTAATTATGATTTAATACTGCATCTTTATGTTTGCTTACATTTCTCTCAACTGCAAATGGCGCCCTGTGAGGCTGTATGTGCATAAGTTTTGATACATCTTGACTTTTTATATAAGATCTGTGTATGTTTTATGGTAGTAAGTGACTAGTAGAATAATATTTTCTAACATTTTTTGCATTCATGACATATCTAACTTTTTCTTAATTTTTTCAATAATTTTTGTCTGTAAGACTCATCTATTTTTTTCAAATTGTCACATATCTGCAGAAATTTTTTCAATAGATTTATTGAAAAAAATCTGCATATAAGTGGACCCATGCACTTCAATACTGTGTTGTTTGAGTCAACCATATTTATTTTATAGAAAATAAAAGGTATGCTAATTGTCTCAAAATTTTACTCATTTACTTGTTTTCATATTTCATCAACATCAGTTTTAAAATGTACCCAATTGAGACAGAAATAATTATTTTTCTGAGTACTTTTTATAAAACTGCCAAGTTGTTTACCTTCATAATGCTCCTTCCCACAAATTGAAGCCAGAAGAGTTTTAAGGATGTGAATTTGTGTTCATTCTGAAGATATTTTGAACCAGTGGTTACACCTCTACTTGTAGAAAGACCACAATCATGTTTCTTTCCATGGGCTTAAAAATAAAAAGAAAGGTTGACAAAAAACACCTTCTGGCCCTACATTCATTTTCCTGTTCTGCACTTGTGCTCTGTTGCCTTCATTAAAGAGAAAAACTCACCAGTCACAACCTCCTCCTCCTCATTGTTGGAGGCAGATCAAATTTATTCCCTACCTTGGTTCACAGGAAATGGCTGTAGAGGATTGTAGATCACAGCAGTTAAGGGTGAGGGTCTGGACAAATCACCTACTTCTTCTTTAAAGCCAACTAACAAAAAGCCCACCTAGCTTTCAATGGAGTTGAAACAGCCTTCTATTGGAAGAAGATACCATCTAGGACTGTCATTGTTAGAAAGGAGAAGTCAGTGCCTGACTTAAAAGCTTCAAAGGATAGGCTAACTCTCTTGTTGGGAGTTAATGCAACTGGTGACTTTAAGTGGAAGCCAATGCTCATTTGCCATTCCAAAAATGCTAAAGCCGTTAAGGATTATGTTAAATCAATTCTGCCTGGGTTCTATCAATGGAACAACAAAGCCTGGATGACAGCACTTCTGTTTACAGCATGGTTTACTGAATACTTTAAGCCCACTGTTGAGACCTACTGCTCAGAAAACAAGACTCCTTTCAAAATATTATTGCTTACCTGGTCACCAAAGAGCTCTGATGAAGATATACAAAGAGATGAATGTTGTTTTCATGCCTGCTAACACAACATCCATTTTGCAGCCCATGAATCAAGTAGTAGTTTTGACTTTCAAGTCTTATTATTTAAGAAACACATTTCATAAGACTATAACTGCCATACCTGTTGGATTTGGACAAAGTATATTGAAAACCTCTTGGAAGAGGTTCACCATTCTAGATGCCATTAAGAACATTTGTGACTCATGGGAGGAGGTAAAAATATCAACATTTGCAGGAGTTTGGAAGAAGTTGATTCCAATCCTCAATGATGACTTTGAGGGGTTCAACACTTCAGTGGAAGAAGTAACTTAAGATTTGATGGAAATAGCAAGATCATTAGAATTAAAAGTGGAGCCTAAAGATGTGACTTAATTTCTGCAACCTCATAAGAAATCATGAATGGATAAGAAGTTGCTTCTTATGGATGAGCAAGTGGTTTCTTGAGATGGAATCTATTCCTAATGAAGATGCTGTGACCATTATTGAAATGGCAACAGAATTTAGAATATTACACAAACTTATAATCAAACATTGGTAGGGTTTGAGAGGATTGACTTCAGTTTTGAAAGTTCTATTGTGAGTAAAATGCTATCAAACAGCATCACATGCTACAAATAAATTTTTTGTGAAAAAAAAAATCAATGCAGCCAATTTCACTGATGTCTCATTTTAAGAAATTGCCACAGCCACAGAAGCCTTCAGCAACCTCCTCCCTGAACAGTCAGCAGTTATGGGCATCAAGGCAAGAATCTCCACCAGCAAAAAAAATTACAATTTGTTGAAGGCTCAGATGATGGTTAGAACTTTTTTAGCAATAAAGTATTTTTAAATTACTGTATGCAAATTATTTTTAGACATAGTGCTATTGCACAGTTAATAGACTACAGTAAAGTATAAACATAAATTTTATATGCACTAGGGAACCAAAAAAATTGTGTAACTCCCTTTATTGCAATTTATTGTGGTGGTCTAGAACCAAACCTGCAGTATCTCCAAGGTATGCTTGTATTTCTGACATAAGTTACATTCCTTAGCCCAAAGAGTACTTCCCTATGTGCATGATTTGGAATAAACTTTCAGTCAGTCTTTAATTTCTGAAGACATACAATTCACAAAGTCATAGCTTCAGGCGTGAAAGAAAAAGATAAAGATATACATTAAACTTTGAGGTCTGTTTCATAGCTTAAGAAATAAAGTGCTGTGTCTTCTTTATTACTCCTGAAGGATTTAAATACAGAAATTCATTAAATTTTGTTTTTCAATTCTCTTACAAGCAAATTCTTTATGTGCTAAGTATATATTTAATTATATATTTTACGAGCTTTAGCTATAACATTTGATATCCCTTGTAGTTGTTTAGTGTTACTATTGATACAAATAAAGCTACAGTATTTCATTTAAAATAAGACATCATCAGTTTTAAGACAATTCTGAATTCTGCCATGTGAAATATTTTAAAAAGTAAATCTTAGAATCAGTGACATGATAATTTATCAGCATTTTAATGATACTTACTAGTATAAAATATAAGCTATAGTCTGTAAAGCCCAGGGATAGAGGAATTTGTAAAACTAGATGGATTAGCATCTGGAATTAAAGATATTAGAGACTTTCAATTCTAAAAGCATAAAAAACATTTTATGTTTTATGCACATAACCATGTGCATCAAATAATTGTTAAAGAGACCCACAAATCTTTATCCTTATACTTGTCAGAGACTTTAAGATGGTAACAGCTGAAAGTAAAAATAAGCATTCTTAATGGAACTGAGTTAAGCAACAGCTAATAATTGTCCTTACCAAGTCCCCAGAACCACCAAAGGGAAGGAAATCAAGCTTCTGTCTTCTGTTCTTGAACTTCCCAGATTCACCCTTTAATTTATCATAGGACGGGCAAATTTACCAATGTCCAGTAAAGTGTTTGCTATAGGCAATGTGGGTCTCTATAACTTTTGAAGATTACTGTATTATGTTTTAATTTTAGTATCTCACCACAATTCATGCTGCTTTCAAAATTTAATCACCTCCCCATATCCTGTGAACTCTCTTTATCACTTATGCATTCACCAAAAATGATAGAACATTAATTCTGTGCCAGATACTCACCTAGGAATTGGGGATAAAATAATAAGAAATTTTCTCTTTGCCCTCAAGTGAGCAGTTTTACAGAGGAGACAGTTTCAGTCACACTGTAATGGCACTTCTATGGTTTGTCAATTTCACAGTAATATGAAATAATGGCCCAAAGGAGGAGATAATGATCTCTGCTTTCAGAGTCAATAGGAGGAGCTATAGCAACTGAGTCTTGAGAATGAAAAGGAAGGAATTTAGCAGGGCTCTATGGGGAAGGGATGATGGTGGCACTTCAGGCAAAGTCAACAGCATGGGCACATTTTGTTTTCATGTTTGTCTCATCTACCAGACTTTCTAGAGTGAAGACCTCAAACTTTAGTAATGCCCACCACCCGAGCCAGAGAAAGACAATGTTTATCAAGTATGTTTTTTTTGTTTGTTTCATTTTGTTTTTGTTTTTGTTTTTTCCAGTAAAAATAAGATGAGAGATTGGCTGTGGAGAATATTGAGAATAGTCAGAAAATAGGTCAATGGTTCTCAAACTTTGATAAGCATGAGAATCACTCGGGGTGCTTGTTCCTAAGCACCACTCTCAGAGTTTCAGCTGCAGTAGGTCTGGAGTGGAGGCAAAAAAATTGCACTTTTAATCAGCCCTACCCTAGCCCCATGACTCTGACACAGGTAGTTCACGGAGCACAGAGGTATATACGGGAAAAGGAATTAGTGCATACTTATGTCCTGGTTCTTATCAACCACCTGCAGCTCAGCAAATATACCTTGAGGTGCACTCCACGTCAGCATCAAAAGCTTTGTAATCAAGGTTAACCTGTGTGGCTCAGACCTGTAAGTTAATTTTCTGGCTAATATGCTGAGAGAAAAATAAATCTGCCTCCTGAGACTTAACAGGTCTTCTAGATTTTAAAATATTAGCATGTTTTTCAAGTGTGGTGAAGCTGAAAGTACTTAAAAAGCTCCAGGATTAGTCACTTCTCTTTAAAAAAAAGTTTGCAGTGGTACAATAGTTACCTTGCAAGATGAAAATTTCCACCTGAGACTTTTTTTTCTATATTTTATAATCATTGATGAGAATTAATGCCAACTCTACCTTTTTTAGACATTGACTGAAACATTTTAAAACTGAGTTGAAAATAATCCTGGGCACGCCTTTAACACCCACTTGTTCTAATTTAACTCCATTTGTCTTTCCCTTACTTACTCTTTATTTTCTTGAGCATTCCAGCTGTTAGCATTAAATCTAATTTTTGTATGTCAGCCCATGTCAAAGCAAGCCTTAATCCTTTTAATGTTAACCTATCACCAGCTCAAAGCTGCTTTATATCATCAGATATAACCACATTTCCAACCCTGAGGGCATGGAGTGTGATTATGTACGCATGCATGCTAGAGCTTCCCTGCAATACTACTTGGTGTAGACTGGAATTCTATATGGGGTGGGTCAGGATTTAATCCCAACCAACGTACTTTGTTTACAGAAACAGAAAAAGGTTTTGTTATAAGGTGGGAGCACTGCAGAAGTATTGGAAAGAGGATTGGCTATCATATTGTTCTGTATATTTTTTAGTCTAAGAGAGATTAAAATGTTGTGAGCAAAGGTATACAGTTAATGACAGAAGTGTTGAAATGGGAACCAAACAGGAAATCTTCAGATCTATAGCCTAACCCATACTTTGTCCCTTTGTCAATGGAGTTATACTATATCATTTACTTTCTTTTCTCCCTTGAGTGATTAACTCAAGCATCTCAAAGCAAAACAAAACAAAACAAAACCACCCTACTGTTTTTATTCCTTTCATTTAGACAATTATTTGGGAGGTAAGGGGAGGTTGTAAAAGAGTCAACTGTGTCTTGAAAGCTTGGAATAATTATATTTTTTTTCTCCGCTGGTTTCTGACAAGATATACCTCAAATTTAGAAAACTACTCAATGAAACAGGGTATTGTCATTGGCAAAGTTCTGCATGGAAACAACTTGCAGTCAGTCAGGTACAGGTGACTTTTTAAAAATTCTACTAAGGCATTTAACTGTGTTATAGTAATACACTGATAAAGAAATTCTGTCTGTTTATATGGAAGATAAACATCATCACCAAATGCAGGTAGATATTATTGCCATTTTATTTTATATAAAATATATATTTGGTGTAATAGAATTAGAATTTTAGAAAGAGCTTATATCTTAAGTAAAAGAAAGGACAATATCTTGTAAATGAGTGTGAAGAGACATTGTCATAAACAAGTTTGAATGTCCAGTTAAATGTCCACCTTAAAAAGGCAATACATAGCAGAAGAGAATAAAAAAGAAAATTCTCTTTCATTCGTATTATGGATCTCAGCCCTGGGGTTAAAAGAATAAGTCATATTATTTTTTTCCTAGAGTAGCTCACGTCCTAAGGGGGAGGAATAACACAGAAAATGTTAACTACAATGCTACAAGACAAGTAACTTCAAAGTCCTATGAGACCTTAAGGGGAGAGTAATTAATTTTGTTTTGGAAATTGGGAAAGGCTTCAAGGGGGATATAATGTTGAAACAAGTGCAGTTTCAATTTTTAAAAAGCCAAGCAGATGTTTTTTTAACATATAAATACAGCAGCATGATATTTCTTTTCTGAACATTAAAAAATATCTTTTTAAGGCTTGTTTAAAATAATATTTCTACAAAATAAACGTCTCACTTCCCATTTTCTCCAACTGAGATAACAAAGTCTTCCTTTTATTTTTATTCACTGCTTTGTTAGTTTTTCTATTAAGCTCGTTATTTATACTTCATGATGATTTTTCCTACATCACTTAATTGGGCAGAAGCTTCTTGAAGAAATCTATGTCTACATTTCCCTCTAAAAGAATCACTTTATATTCTTGTATATAATTCTCATTATTCTCTTTTTTCTTGTTTCTCCTTTCACTTTTATTTTATTATCTTTTTCATACTATTTCAGTACTAACCATAGAAAACTGGGAACAATAGTACACACTGACAACTTTATATATATTTTCTTTCTATACATGCTTCCTCTGCATAAAGACACTGATTACAAATACTATAATTTTCATTTACAAAGAAAAGCTGGGGTTAAGGTATTTTCCAAGGATACAGAGGCACCTGTGATGAATATGGAAACAAAATCTCCTAGGTCAGTGGTCATTAGATCAATTGTTCAACATTTTAAATGTTGTCCTAGATTTGATGCCAGTTCCTCGACAATAGGTTTTGAAAAGAGGGTTCATGATCTGAGATCCCGAAAAGGAAAAAGTTAAAAGGAAGAGAATCTTAGAGGATTAGATTGATCTCTAGGGATTTGGAAACTAGGCAGAAGATCTGAAGATGAAAGGAAAGATTTGATTCTGTGCTAAATTACAAGTTTTGAAGGAAATTAGAGTGTAATTTTGTTCAGCTATAGATAAGAATCCACAGCCTAAATTAGTAAAGTTCTTATAACTATTATCTTTTAAATCATAATTAAAAAGTATTTCTAAAACGATGTCAGTTGTGAACAATCACCTTGAGGTACAAGCGTAATATGAAAAGTCTGAGAAAGCACAGCAGTAGCAACCAGTGCATATTAAATATCAGTTGCAAAAGGGCAAGTCCAAAAGACATGTCATTACCTTACTGTATATCTTTTCTTCTCAGTCACGAAAAGAGGGAAAGGCATATAGCACTGCTGTCATGCCTTGTTTATTTTGGCCTCACGAAAGCATCAAAGTTCTGCTTTTTGGGGGAGCTGGTAGGGTGCCTTAGATTCTTCTCGCCCTACTCCTGAGAGGAAAGCTACGTTTAAACAGGCCCCAAAGAGCAAAATTTTGTTATCCTCCTGGAACCATTTATTATACTTGACCCTGACTCAGTCACTGGTAATACCCTCAGCCCAGGTTAAATAAACTTGGCATATAGGCTAAGCCAATTAGTGTGTTGCTGTCCACTGGTTAGAGTTTCCAGGAACAATCAGTTCTGCTGGGAAAAAAGAGCATGGTTTTTCTTCCATTACCAAATAAATACTTGATTAACCTGATTTCCAAGTGAATACCTGATTTCTCTCAGAAATATGCTTGTAGAAAGTTAGAGTGGGCCAGTGGTAAAAATAGAGAATTAAACACACATACTCAACTCTACATTCTCCCAGAAACTCTCAAACAACTGCCAAGGGATTGAAGGGAAGAGAAAGTGGTGGGGGAAATGGAAATGCTACAGGGCAAAGGGATGAGAGGGGAGAAGGTAGTGGAATCTGAATGGTGGATGGTTGTGTGGTAACTGATTTAGCAGATCCATGAAATCTGAATAAAGCCATTAGTGAGAAAAATTTAGAAGCACAATAATTGCCATTGTATAATCTGCAAAGCTTCAGGATTCTTGACCCCTGTTATTCTGGAAGTAGGATACAGGCAGAACTTAAAAAAAAAAGGATTGGATGCAAGTCTGTTTTAAAAATATCCATTTTACCTCTACTCCCTTTAGAAACCCCACTAAAATGACAGCCTAGGTTTCTGTTTGATTTGCCTTAAGGAACACACTCAAAATGACCCAAACAAAAACAACCAACTAAAGAAAAACATGTTTTTACATACTTTCTGTTAGAATCTTACTGCGTACTTTTTTTTTTTAACTATTGTAAATAGTATGCTTTGAAATTTTTCTCTAGCTGTTGCTGCTATATAAAAATGCCACTGACTTTTAGTTATTAATCTTATAACTGGTAACTTTGGCAGAAACTTAACAAATTTATTGCATTATTTCCCCAAATGATGAATTATAATAATTTGGGCAGAATTCCTTCAGGTTTCCTATTTTGTAGAAAACCATGTTATTTCTGAATAATAATAATTTACTTTCCAATCCTTATAGCATTTCTTTTTTTTCTTATTGCACTATGATATTTAATCCAATATTGAATAGCAATAGTTATATTGTGAATGATTATAATGATTCACCATTGATTATAATGTTTGCTATAAAATTTCCATGCATAACATTTTCAGGTTAAAGAAATTCATTTTTATAACTTGTCCACTGGGGTTTTGTATCAAAAATGATTATTAAATGTTATCAACTGTGTATTCTATGCCTATTAAAATAATATTTTCTCCTTTAATATATTAATGTGATACATTACTTAATAGATTTTATAATGTTAAATCTAATGTTTATAATGTTAAAATTGCATTCCTAGAGTATATCATAGTTGGTAATTATATGTCATCTTTTTTTACATTGCTGAATTCAATTTATACTTTTCCTTTTTTAGAATTTTTTTGGCAGGGCACCGTGGCTCATGCCTGTAATCCCAGCACTTTGGGAGGCTGACGCAGGTGGATCACCTGAGGTCAGGAGTTCAAGACCAGCCTGGCCAACATGGTGAAACCCCGTCTCTACTAAAAGTACAAAAATTAGCTGGGCATAGTGGCGGGCGCCTGTAATCCTAGCTACTCAGGAGGCTGAGGCAGAAGAATCACTTGAACCCTGGAGGCAGAGGTTGCAGTGAGCTGAGATCGCGCCATTGCACTCCAGTCTGGGAGAAAAGAGCAAAACTCCATCTCAAAAAAAGAAAAAAAGAATTTTTTTTGTTCTTGCATTAATAAGATTGGCCTGTTTTTCCCCTTTCTTTTACTCTCTTTACTTTTGATAACAAAATAAATTAAATATGTAAGCTGAATTGGAAAACCTTCTCTTTTATTCTATTAACTGGAAGTTCAGGTTTGGAGTTATCTTTCTTTGAATGTTTCTTTCAACGCTCCTGTAAAACTGTATGGATCTGCTGTTTTCCTCAAGGGAGAATTATGTACTACAGATAACCTTATGATTTTTATTTCTTGACTAATTTTGAGTCAATTTTGGTAACTTTTAAAAGTATTTTGTTCATTTCACTTAATTTTTCAAATGTGTTAACATTAAAGTTACTTATATTTTCTTGTCATTTTGATCTCAGCCGCCTCTTTAATTACACCTTCTTATTCATTCCTAATCTTTTATGCTGTCTCTTTTGTTTTCTTAATAGATCTTGCCTGACGTTTGTCAAAATCATTAGTTTTTCAGAAAATCATTTTTGGATTTGTTGATTCAAAATTATGAAGTTTTTTACTTTATGTTTTTCTGCTCTTGTCTTTATTATTTTATTTCTTCTTACTCCTACATTTTTTGGGTTTACAGTTGTGCAATACATAATGACAATTTCAGTCAACAACAGAGTGCATATATGATGCCCTCCATAATATTATAATGAAGCTGAAAAATTCCTTTCACACAGTGACTTCTTAGCATTGTAACATAACACATTACTCACAAGTTTGTGGTGATGCTGGTGTAAACAAACCCACTTTGCTGCCAGTCATGTATGAGTATAGCACATGCAATTATGTATAGTACATAATACTTGGTGATAAAGGACTATGTTACTAGTTTATGTATTTACTATAGTACACTTTTTATTACTATTTTAGAGTGTATTCCTTCTACTTATGAAAAAAAATGTTAACTGTAAAACAGCCTCAGGTAGGTCCTTCAGGAGGTGTTCCAGAAGGCATTGTTATCACAGGAAATGACAGTTCTATGCATGTTATTGCCCTGAAAACCTTCCAATGGGACAAGATATGGAGGTGGAAGACAGTGATATTGTTCATTCTGACCCTGTATAGGCTAGACTAATGTGAATGTTTGTGTCTTAGTTAACAAAAAAGTTACAAAAGTAAACCAAAAAATTTTTGAACAGAAAAAAGCTTATAGAATAAAAACATGAAGAAAAATATGTTTGTACAACTGTACAATGTGTTTGTGTTTTAAGCTAATTGTTACTACAAAAAAGAGTAAAAAGATTAAAAATGATTTAAAAATTTATAAAGTAAAAAAGTTGCAGTAAACTAAGATTCATTTATTATTGAAGAAAAATATTTTAAAATAAATTTAGTGTAGCCTAAGTGTACTGTGTTTATAAAGTGGTATACAGTAATGTCCTAGGCCTTCACATTCACTCACCACTCACTCATTGACTCGCCCAGAGAAACTTCCAGTCCTGCAAGATCTATTCATGGTAAGTGCCCTAAACAGGTGTAGCATTTAAAAATCTTTTATACAGTATTTTTACTGTACCTTTTCTATATTTAGATATGTATAGATATACAAATACCATTGTGTTATGATTGCCTACAATATTGAGTACAGTAACATGCTGTACAGGTTGTAGCCTCTGAGCACTAGGCTATCCCATATAGCCTAGGTGTGCGTATGCTATCCCATCCAGGCTTATGTAAGTACACCTTCTGATGGTCGCACAATGACACAATTGCCTAGCAATGCATTTCTCAGCATGTATCATCATCGAGTGAAGTGGAGAATGACTGACTTTTGCTCTTCTTTTTCTAATGTCTTAAAATAACTGCTTAGGTAATCATGTTTTGATTTTTTCCTAATACAAGCATTTTAGGCTTTAAGTTTCCCTATGAAGACTACTGGCTATGTTCCAAAAGTTTTGAAGTGTTTTATTTTTATTAATGTACAGCTGCTTCTACAATTGTTATTTATGCTAAATTTTTGATTCATGGTTGCTTCTTTGCATGTGTATTAATCATTTTTATTGTGAGTTCATAATATTTTATTTGAGGCCTGCAAATAAAATACATTTCTTCATAACAATAGTACCTGGGGTATTACCAACTTTCAAACTCAACATCTAGTTTAAATTTTTTTAGGCAATATCAGTTTCAGTGGCAAAATGATGGGAATATGGCTTGTGGTTAAGACATCTCAGGGGGGACTTATTTTCTTTATTTCTGCTCCATGCAAAGAGAAGGAACATCTTTCCTGCTGTGGGTCACATTTGTCTCTTATTTACCCACTGTGAGTGACACGCTTTGAGTGGTCCTGGTTTCATGCAGGTATCTCTGATCCTACTTTCTCTCCTCTACTCTGGCACCTGTTTTGGCTTCTGTTCTTCAAACATTTGCCAATTAAAACCCAGACTTCGAGCTATAATAATTGGCAGATATTCTCAAGGATAATGCAAGCTCTAGGGCTCAGCTAATCCTCATGGAATCGTACTTTCTCATTGTTTGTTTCATCTAGTTCCATTTCTTTACTTCCAGTTCAGCAGTGTTCTGAAAAAAATTGTTATGTATTTACTTAATATTATTTTACTTACTCCTGGAAGGATTTCTCTGCACATGTATTCTGCCATACTTTTGGAAACTAAAAACCCATTTTATGACACTTTTGGTTGAAATGTATAAAAAAAAACCCCAGATCAGTTTGCTGTAACAAACTGTAAACAGCAGAGACATAACTAGAAACCCAAGAAATATGATTTTTCTTTTTAGTTTAATTTGGCAGCTAAATCATATCCTCAAAGCCATAGATTCTTTCTGCCTCTTCATTCTGCCTGTCATATAGGCTTCAATCCAAAGCTATCTATCTCTCTGACATGGTCACAAAATGCAGCACAGAGCTGCATACTTTATGTCCACAATCAAGAAGAGAGGGAACCCTTCCCCAACCATCATATGAGTTTTCTGACTCATATGGTTCCCAATGGGCAACCACTGAACCAAATCCTATAAGAGAAATGTCATGCTTTGATTAACTTAGTCCTGGATTACTTAAAACATATTCCTTGTGTAATATCTACTTCCTTCCTGAAAATTCTGTTGCTAAGTGCAAAAAATACTTTTTCATTTTAAAAGAAAAATTGTGATGCATTTAGTCCCAACTCAAGGTACTTGATAATTTTATATAACAATTCAAATAACTTAACACAATTTTTAAAAATCCAATAATTTGAAAACAAAAATTCAAGTTTAGGCATAAAATAGAATATACTAAGGGTTTACTGATCTATTCTTTGTCTTATTTTCATACCATTTTCTTCATCACTTGTTAAAACTTTTGGGACTCTGGTGATCTTGCTCTTAAACTACACTGAAAAATTATAGCATACAAAATACTTTTGGGATAAAATCAAAGCTAAGAAAATGAAAGCTTTGAAACATGTGGAAATAGTGTAGGTTCACAACATACTAAGCACTGTGGAAGCTGCAAATCTTCTATCCCTCTTATTTGGCATACATAAGCAAAGTCAACTGTTTTGTGTTTTTCCAGACATTGCTCAAAATTCAAGTTAGATTCATATGAAATTGTCTGACTAGAAAATGTTGTGTTGAGTAAATTGAACATGTCTTTGAGTAAATTGAATGTGTCAATGTCAAAAATAATATTTATTATTTTAATTATTTATTATTCCTACTACTTCTATTTTTCATTTAGTGTGCTTTGGGGTAAAAAGGAAAAGCCCCATAGAAAAAAATGAATTGTCTGAAAATGAAATGACTTTTTAAGAACCATTATAGCAAAAAGCACAACATTTTATGGGATGTAGATCTGTACTGTGGCAAAGGAGATGGGTTTACTTTGAGTAACTGATACCATTCAGGGCATGTCCTTGAAGATCAGTCTCCCCAGACTTCATGGTCACTACACAAAGGGGAAGAAAGGGAATGAATATCAATGAGATAATCATCATGCCTACTTCAGCCAGTTTTCTTGCAGTATTTATCTGAATCAAATTTAATCCACACTGAGATCCCACTCTCATCAATAATGGGACATCTAATGTCCCTGATCATTAGGGATCCCTCCCTCTCTCTATGCGATCATGTAAATCCAGAAAACCTGGTAGGTACTGGTTATTCACAGCTGGTCGCCGGTATTGACTCTGTTATTCTGCTCCCTAATGATGCTATGGAGCATTATCTTCCAATATTCCTTAAGCACTCAGCTCTGGGTAGACTCAGGAATGAATCCCTCAGTCATTCACCCCACCAACTCCAGACCTTCTGCTCACCAGACTCCAATATATAATGTGCAGCTTCCTTGTCTCACTGCTGACCTGCTTTCCATTCTGTTCTGTTTCTTCTCGTTAGCTCTCCTAAAGCTTAGCTTCCCATTTTCTACTGCATTTTTCATTTTTGAATAACAACAGCTTTATTGAGATATGATTCACATACCATAGTATTGATCTATTTGAAGTATATAATTTAATGTCTTTCAGTATGTTCAGAGAGTTATGCAGCAATCTCTACAATACATTTTAGAGCATATTTATAATCCCCAAAAGAAATTGCATATGCATTAGCAGTTATTCCCCATTTTCCTTCAGTTTCCCCACCCTCTGAGGTAATAAGCAACTACTTACCTAATTTTCTGTTTTAATAGGTTTGTCCATTCTGGACATTTCATATAAATGGAGACATACAATATACACTCTTTTGAATTTGGCTTCTTTCACTAAGCATAATGATTCGCAGATCATTCATTCTATGGCATATATTAGAAGGTAATTCTTTTTATGGCTTAGTAATGTTTCTTTACATGAATGTTCTACATTTTGTTTATTAATTCACCAATTGATAGACAGTTGAGTGTTTTCAATTTGGTGCTATTATGAATAATACTATCATGAACTTTTGTATAAATGTCTTTGTGGGGACATATGTTTTCTTTCTCTTGGGTAAATTCCTAAGAGTAGAATTGTTGAATTGTATGTTAAGTTTCACTTTTTGAGAAACTGCCAAGTTGTTTTCCAAAGTGACTGCACTATTTTCTATTCCTACAAGCAATGTTATCAGGGTTCTAGTTTCTCCACATCCTTACCAAAACTTATTTGTCTTTTGAATTATAGCCATTATAGCGGGTGTGTAGTGATATGATTGCATTTTTAAAATTTTGAAGGCACCCAGCTTGGCCAGGATCAGCTGGATAGTAATGGTGAAAAAGGGCATCTTTGTCTTGTGCCAGTTCTTAGAGGAAAGGCTTTCAAATTTTCCCCATTCAGTAAGGTGTTAGCTGTGGGTTTATCATATATGACCTTTATTATGCTGAGGTATATTCCTTCTATGCCTAGTTTGTTGAGAGGATTTTTCTTTTTATCATGAAGAGACATTGAATTCTAACAAATACTCTTTCTGTGTCTATTGAGATGATCATATTGTTTTTATCCTTTAGTCTGTCTATGTGATGTTTCATGTTTACTGATTTGCATGTGTTGAACCATCCTTATATCCTTGGGATAAATTTCACTTGATTGTGGTGTATTATCTTTTTGATATGGTGTTGAATTCAGTCTGCTAGTATTCTTTTGGTGATATTTGCATCTATGTTCATCAGGGATATTGGTTTAGTTTTCTTTTTGTTGTTGTGTCTTTGTCTGGTTTCGATATCAAGGTAATGCTAGCCTCATAGCATGAGTTAGGGAGAATTCCATCCTCTTCAAATTTTTGGAATACTTTGGAGAAAATTGGTGTTAATTTTTCTTTATACATTTGATAGAATTCAGCAGTGAAGTCATTTGGTCCTGACGCTTTTTTGTTGTCCTGGAAGACTTTTTACTACTGATTTAATCTATTACTTGTTATTAGTATGTTCAGGTTTTCTATTGTTTCCAGATTCCATCTTGGTAGGTTGTATATATCCAGGAATTTATTCATTTCCTCTAGATTTTCCAGTTTGTTAGCATATAGTTGTTCATATGATATGTTCATGTCAAAGATCTCTGATGATCTTTTGTATTTCTGTGGTATCAGTTGTAATATTTCCTTTTCATTCTGATTTTTAAAATTTGGGTCTTCTCTTTTCTTATTAGTCTAGCTAGTGGTTTATCAGTTTTATTTATCTTTTCGAACAAACAACTTTTTGTTTCATTGATCCTTTATGTTGTTTATTTCATCTATATTTTGTTTAATTCTTCTCTGATCTTTATTATTTCTTTTATTATACTAATTTTGGGTTTGGCATGTTCTTGATTTCCTAGTTCCTAAAGGGCTTCATTAGATTGTTTGAAATTTTTCTATTTTTTTGATATAGGTGTTTATTGCTATAAACTTCCCTTTTAACATTGTTTTTTGTTGTAGTCCACAGGTTTGGGCTTGTTGTGTTTCCATTTTTATTCGTTTCAGTTTTTAAAAATTTTCTTCTCCCGCAGCCCCAGAGTCAAAGCCGGTTGCCGACCCTGTCCCGTCCCGCAGTAGCCTGCCTCCTCTTTCCTTTCAACATGATAGATGTCACTGTGTCCTTTGCCAAGGACTTCCTGGGAGATGGAGTGGCCACAGCCATCTTCAAGATAGCGGTAGCACCCACCGTCCAGGTCAAGCTGCTGATGCAGGTTCAGCATGCCAGCAAACATATCACCGCAGATAAGCAATACAAGGGCATTATAGACTGCGTGGTCCGTATTCCCAAGGAGCAGGGGAGTCCTGTCCTTCTGGCGCAGTAACCTGGCCACTGTCTTCAGATACTTCCCCACCCAGGCTCTCAACTTCGCCTTCAAAGATAAATACAAGCAGATCTTCCTGGGTGGGGTGGACAAGAGGACCCAGTTTTGGCTCTACTTTGCAGGGAATCTGACATCAGGCTGTGCCGCTGGGGCCACATCCTTGTGTTTTGTGTACCCTCTTGATTTTGCCCATACTCGTCTAGCAGCCGATGTGGGTAAAGCTGAAGCGAAAGGGAATTCCGAGGCCTCAGTGACTGCCTGGTTAAGATATGTAAATCTAATGGGATTAAGGGCCCGTACCAAGGCTTCAACGTGTCTGTGCAGGTTATTATCATCTACCGAGCTGCCTACTTCGGTATCTATGACACTAGAAATGGAATGCTTCCGGATCCCAAGAACACTCACATTGTCATCAGCTGGATGATCGCACAGACTGTCAGGGCTGTTGCTGGATTGGCTTCCTATCCACTTGACACAGTTCGCCCCCGCATGATGATGCAGTCAGGGTGCAAAGGAACTGACCTCATGTACACAGGCATGCTTGACTGCTGGAGGAAGATTGCTAGTGATGAAGGGGGCAAAGCTTTTCTCAAGGGTGCATGGTCCAGTGTTCTCAGAGGCACAGGTGGTGCTTTTGTGCTTGTCTTGTATGATTAAATCAAGAACTACATATAAGGTATTTCCTAGGATTTTTCCCCCTATGAGCAGGTATGTTGTATTATATAACATATCTTGAGCATTCTTGACAGACTACTGGCTGTCAGTTTATCAGTGGCAACTATTTACTTGTTGAAAATTAGAAGCAATAATATTCATTTGACCAGTTTTCTCTTAAAGCCATTTCCATGATGATGGTGGTGATGATGATGGGACTCAATTATATTTTTTATTTCAGTCACTCCTGATACATAACAAATTTGAAGAAATTTTAAAAATCTAAAATTAAAAAAATTATTCTTAATTTTTTTTCTTGACCAATGGTTGTTCAGGAGAATGTTGTCTAATTTCAGTGTAATTGCATAGTTTCCAAAATTCCTCTTTTTATTAATTTCTAGTTTTAATTCACTATAATCCGAGAAGATAGTTGGTATAAATTTGATTTTTTAAAAATTGTGGACTCATTTTGTGGCCAAACATATGACCTGGAGAATGTTTCTTGTGCCAAGAAGAGGAATGTATATTCCGTAGCTGTTGAATAAAATGTTCTGTAGGTGTCTGTTAGGTCTATTTGATCTAAAGTGAAATTTAAGTTCACTTTAGATTCAATGTTTCTTTGTTAATTTTCTGTCAGAATATCTGTCTAGTGTTGATGGGGGTTGAAGTCCCCAACTATTATTGCATTGAAGTCTATCTCTCCCTTTGGATAATGTTTGTTTTATAAATCTGGGTGCTTCAGTGTTGGGTGCATATGTATTTAGAATCGTTATATTATCTTGCTGAATCTACCCCTTTATCATTATCTAAATACTGTCCTTGTCTCTTTTTTTAACTGTTTTGACACAAAGTCTCTTTTATGTGATATAAGTATAGCAACTCCTGCTCACTTTTGGTTTCCATTTGCATGGAATTTTTTTTTTAATTCCTTTGCTTTCAGTCTATATGTGTCTTTACAGGTGGGGTGAGTTTCTTGTAGATAGCATACAATTGGGTCATATGTTTTTGGACCCATTCAGCCAGTCTATATTTTATAAGTGGATAATTTAATCTGTTTACATTCAAGGTTATTATTGGTAAGTGAAGGCTTATTCTTGTAGTTTTGTTAATTGTTTTCTGGTTGTTTTGTATGTCCTTAGTTTCTTTCTTTCTCTTTTATTGTTTGTCATCATAGTTTGGTGGTTTTCTGTAGTGGTAACATGAGTCCTTTCTCTTCCTTATTTGTGTGTTTGCTCTACCAGTGAGTTTTATATTTATATACTGGAAGTCCTCACCAGAGCAATTAGGCAAGAGAAAGAAATAAAAGGTATCCAAATTGGACAAGAGGAAGTCAAACTGTTTCTTTTTGCAGATAACATGATCTTTTATTTAGAAAAATCTGAAGACTCCACAAAAAAACTCTTAGACTTGATAATAAATCAAACAAATTTGCAGGAAACAAAATAAATATACAAAAATCAGTAGCATTTTTATTTATCAATAATGAAATAGCTGAAAAGAAATCAAGAAGGCAATCTCATTTGCAATAGCTTAAAAATACCTAAAAATAAATTTAACCAAGGGAGTGAAAGATCTTTGCAAGGAAAACAACAAAACACTGATGAAAGAAATTGAAGAGGGCTGAGTGTGATTGCTCATGCATGTAATCCCAACACTTTGGGAGGCTGAGGTGGGAGGATCTCTTGAGTCCAGGAGTTCAAGACCAGCCTAGAAAACATGGCAAGAGCCTCTCTCTAAAAAAAAAAAAAAAAAAATTTGCTGGGTATGGTGACACATGTCTATATAGACCTAGCTACTTGAGAGACTAAGGCAGGAGAATTTATTGAGCCCAGGAGTTTGAGGTTACAATGAGCTATGATCACACCACTGCACTCCAGCCTGAGTGACATAGTGAGACCCTGTCTCTAAAGAAAAGAAGATAAAAGAAATTGAAGATGACACAAATAAATGGAAAGACATCCCATGCTCTTCAATTGGAAGAACTAATATTGTTAAAATGACCATACTGCTGAAGGCAATCTACATATTCAACAAAATTCCTATCAAAATACCAATGTCGTTTTTCACAGAAAGAAAAGAATCCTCAAATTTGTATGGAACCAAAAAAGATCCCGAATAGCAAATGCAATTATGAACAAAAAGAACAAAGCTGGAGGTGTCACACTAACTGACTTCAAAATATGTTACAAGGCTATAGTAACCAAATGAGCATGGTATTGGTATTAAAAACAGACACATAGACCAATGGAACAGCATACAGAACCTAGAAACAAATCCAGGTATTTACAGCCAACTATTTTCAACAAAGGCGCCAAGAACATACCCTGGAGAAAGGACATCCTCTTCAATAAACAGTGCTGGGAAAATTTAATACCCATATGCAAAAGAATGAACTAGACCTCTATCTCTCACCATATACAAAAATCAACTCAAAATGTAGTAAAGACCTAAACATAAGACCTGAAAATAAAAACTACTAGGAGAAAACAATACTTCAGGACATTGGTCTATGCAAAGATTTTACGACTAAGATCTCAAAAGCACAGGAAACAAAATCAAAAGTAGACAGACAGGACTATAATACACTAAAATGCTTCCACACAACAAAAGAAATCACAACCAGAGTGACAAGACAACCTGTTGAATGGGAGAAAATATTTGCAAACTATTCATCTGATAAGGGACCAATATCCAAAAAAGACAACAAACCAAAACAACTCAACAGCAAGAAAGCATGTAATCCCATTTGAAAAGTGGACAAAGTACATGAAAAAATATTTCTCAAAAGAAGACATACATATATGTCAACAGGTATATTAAAAAGTTCAATATTACTAATCTAATCTTACCCTAGTTTGAATGGCTATTATTATTAAAAAGACAAAAAATAACAGATGCTGATGAAGATGTAGAGGGAAAAAAGAACTTTTATACACTGTTGGTGGGAATGTAAATTAGTACAGCCACTATGGAATATAGTATAGGAATTTCTTTAAAAATTAAAAATAGAACTACCATACGATTCAGCAATCCCATTACTGGGTATTTATCTAAAGGAAAGGAAATCAGTATATCAAAGAGATATCTGTACCCTCATGTTTACTGCAGTATAATTCACAATAGCAAAGATATGGAATCAACCTGTGTCTAACATCAGATAAATGAATAAAGAAAATGTGGTATATACCCACAATGGAGTACTATTTGACTAGAAAAGGAATGAAATCCTGTAATTTGCAGCAACTTGGACAGAACTAGGGATCACTATGTTAAGTGAAATAAGCCAAGCACAGTAAGACAAATACAGCATATTCTCATTCATATATTGGAGCTAAAAAAGTTGATCTTGTAGAGGTAAAGAGTAGAATGATAGCTACCAGAGGCTGAGAAGAGTGTGTGGGAAGGGCATGAGGAGAGGCTGGTTAAGGGTAGAAACAGTTAGACAGAATGAATATTTATTATCAGAGTAGGATGATTATAGTTAATAACGTATCATATGTTTCAAAATAGCTAGAAGAGAGAATTTGAAATGTTCCCAACATATAGAAATGATAACTACCTGAGGTGATGGATACTCTAAATGCCCTGACTTGATTGTTATACATTCTGTGCATGTAAGAAAATGTCACATGAGCCCCATAAAAATACACAAATATTACGTATCAATAAAAAATATTTCAATAAGTTGGTTACATTTAAAACTTGGGAGAAAGTTTTCTGGGTATTTGAACTCTCTGGAATCATCCAGATGTTCTCACAACACTAAGCCTCAGTCTTACAAGGTGGCAATTGGCTGGAACTGTATAATTGCCATTCTCTTTAGAATGGCATGTTCTCTCCAATTTACTAGAGTCATATCTTTTGAGTGTGACAATGATTGTATCAGTTTCCATTTTTATTATAGTTGTGCTGTTATTTTTCTGTAGTTAGGCAATATTTTGTGACTCCATGTCTGTAGCAAAAGTGGAAAATAACATAGAGACTGCAAAGACAATATAATTCAAGAAAAGTAGGAGAGAACAAAGTTGTTTTCAAAGAAACTAAATAAATATACAAAGAAACAAAAAATATACAAAAATCTGTAGTATTTCTGTTTATCAATAATGTAATAGCTGACAGAGAAATCAAGAAGGCACTCTTCATTTACAATAACTTAAAAAATACCTAAGAATAAATTTAACTTATTTATTGTTAAATAAAAGATCTCTACAAGGAAAACAATTGGAGACAACTCTTACATGTTTAATACACAAAGTATGTCTTTGTCAAAAAATGCAACTGAAGTCATCATTATGAACAAACTACAGAAAGATAACGCATGAGAATTTAACGAGCTGAGAGAAACAACAGAAATTTCAATGGTGTTCTATTTTAAAAGCAAATCAAATAAGTAATGCTACCATGAAAAGTAATTATTAGTTTTTTTAATGCAAGGGAGCTTATAAAATTTTTTTAAATTTATGTTTTGATTATCTTATTTTTTGAAAGAATTGTTTCTTTGGCAAGAAATAATCTACCACACTTTTTAAACCAGACTCAGTTTTCAGAATTGGAAATTACAGGAATTCCCCAATTGCAGAGTTGAAGACCTAATTCCAAACAAAGTTCTCTAACTTCAAACTTTTTAAAAATAAACAAATGTTTTTCACTTTGTTTTTCACAATTAATACTGATAGAATGAATGGTTATCAAATAAACCAAGTAGCATTATAATATGATACTGACAGCAAAATATGATGGTGTTAGAAAATTAGATGTCTTCAATGTCGTGAAAGTAGTTACTCTAAACATAAAAGCAAACTATGTTTGGAAGTAAACCTATATTAAAAGCATGTGTTCTCCGTTATGAGCTAAAATAAAACAAAATATTGTTCTCATTTAAGGGATTCAAGGCCAAATTCTGTACATCTATTTTAAAGAGGAATACAAAGTCTAATCCATGTTATATAGAAAAAAGATGTTAGTTTTCTAATTATAAATCAGAATAATTGGAGTTTGAAAATTTTCAGTTAATCTTTTTATTTTGAATTTAATATATAATCCAAAATATCATATCTGCTTACATTATGCCATGCACTTCTAATTTAGTTCTAATTTAGTAAAAATAAAGACTGTTTGATTCTATTTCTGGAAGTTAAATGTTCTTATACTTGGGCTTCTGCACACAATTACATTACCTACTTTGACCCTCAAAGCTGTTGAATTGTGAACACCTGCACCAAGAAAAGTGTTCAAGGATCTTCATGTTTCTTCATGATCCAGTCCAGATTATCAAGATGGGAGAATGTATGGGAACTATGAGCAGACACTCAGAAATAGAGACATCTTTTCCTGAAGCGAGGAGAGCAGAATGGGACCACCAGGATACTCAGCTGATGAAGAAGGTGATGGCCCAATGTTGATTTTAGTCAGTAGGACGCAAGCTCAGCATGAAAATGTTTGAGGTGGTGGAGGAGGTAACTGCGGGTGGCAGGAGAACAGTCTCAACTTTTTTTTGTTTGCTTGCTTGTTGGTAGCTCATGGCTGTGCAAGCTCAGCACAGGCCATTTACTGAGGATCCTTCCACACTTAACTCCACAGCAGCCCCTCTCCCGGACCCCTACTTCTGCAGGGGGCAGTATCTAGTTCTGGCAGAGAGGTAAAAATGTTTCTTGTGTTCTGAATGGCTAATTATATATCAGTGTTTACAAGGGAAAGGTCCCTACTTCTAACCCCTGCAGCACTTGGCCTGTGCTCTGAAACGTATACTTTGACTACCCCTTTTATCTTAGCATGAAGAACTGGCACTGACATTTATTAGTCATAAAGTTATTCATTCCATTTTAAATCCAACTATGGTGCTCAACTCCCTAACTTCCTGTGGCAGTGGGTTTCACAAGTTGGCTATACGTGGCACAAAGTAATAGTTTCTTCAACTTGCTCTAATTTTGTCAGCCATCAATTCCACCAGATGACATTTTGTTCTTCAGTGACATTTTGGAGCATTCAGTTCTTTGGTTGAGATTACAAAGAAAACCCTCCCTCAGGCTCTCAGGCACTAAATAATCACCATTTGCCATTTTCCCTTTAAATATGTTAGCCTGGTTTGATTGACTTGGAGAAAAATCTAAAATTCTTTTTTCTAATTTGCCGTCATCGTATTCGAATTTTAGTCTTCTCTACTAGTCTTTCTTGGGAGTCATTTCAAATGCCTATTTATTATTAGGTATATTTATAAAGTGGCCTATTTGGTAGGATTAGGATTAATTTGTGTGAACAGTGTGCTTCTCAAAAAGTATTGAGAGTCTTCTAATGACAATGTCTCACAATAAATTGTCTGTGGCCATCACTTCATCCAGGGAGTAGGTAACAGGATGAATAACATGATTTTAGAGCAATTGAATTGGTTCTGTGCCTGCCACCTCCCTCACTACCAATTCTCCCACTCACTCTGATTTATGAAATTTTTCTACTGAGGTTCAGTTACTTTGATCCCTATTTCAACTAAAACTCCCTCAAAGAGAGGTGTTATTTAAGCTACTGTCAGCCAAATTATGATGATATATGACATCTCTTATTCTTTAAACCAGTGGTTTTCAAATCTTGTCCTGTAGAACCCTAGAGTTCCCAGAGTATCACAGGAATCATAGCAGATTAAGAAGAATCAGATGGGCTAGGTTACAATCAGAGCAACTCTGCTGGTACTGTCACAGGATCCTTAAGTGTAGCTTTTCCAGCCAGAAACCTCTCTGGCCAGTGGCACCTTTGCCTGAGTTTGGACCTACTGGGCTCATTCCACCCACCTGGCCTGGCAGGCTGAGCTCGGTTTGTGCTACTGGCCTGAATCCTACGCCTGCCAAGGCTGAGCCAGGCATGGAGCAGCGAAGGGTTTGGGAGTGAGTGAGCATGGGCCACTGCTCACAGCCAGGCATGCTGGCTACTGTTGAGAGGTGACAGCATGCTGGCAGCCCTCGCAGCCCTCGCTCGCTCTTGGCGCCTCCTTGGCCTTGGCGTCCACTCTGGCCATGGTCGGGGAGCCCTTCAGCCCGCCACCGCGCTGTGCGGGCCCCTCTCTGGGCTGGTTGAGGCCGGAGTCGGCTCCCTCAGCTTGCCAGGAGGTGTGGAGGGAGAGGCTCCGGCAGGAACCGGGGCTGCGCGAGGCGCTTGAGGGACACCTAGAGTTCCAGATGGGCGTGGGCTTGGCGGGCCCAGCAGGCCCGGGCAGTGAGGGGCTTAGCACCCGAGCCAGCAGCTGTAGAGGGTGCACTGGGTCCGCCAGCAGTGCCGGCCCACGGGGGCTGCGCTCCATTTCTTCCCGGGCCTTAGGTGCCTGCCCTCCCCCAGCCCTCAGCCGCCGTGGGCTCCTGCGCGGCCTGAGCCTCCCCAATAAGCGGGGCCCCCTGCTCCACGGCACCTGGTCCCATCGACCGCCCAAGGGCTGAGGAGTGCAGGCGCAAGGTGCTGGACTGGCAGGCAGCTCCACCTGCGACCCTGTGCAAGATCCACTGAGTGAAGCCAGCTGGGCTCCTGAGTCTAGTGGTGACTTGCAGAACCTTTATGTCTAGCTAAGGGATTGTAAATACACCAATCAGCACTCTGTATCTAGCTGAGGGCTTGTAAACACACCAATCAGCACCCTGTGTCTAGCTCAGGGTTTGTGGAGGCACCAATCGGCACTCTGTATCTAGTTAATCTGGTGGGGAGGGAGAACTTTTGTGTCTAGCTCAGGGATTGTAAACACACCAATCAGCTCTCTGTAAAACAGACCAGTCGGCTCTCTGTAAAATGGACCAATCAGCAGGATGTGGGTGGGGCCAGATAAGAGAATAAAAGCAGGCTGCCTGAGCCACCACTTGCAACCTGCTCGGGTCCACTTCCACAGTGTGAAAGCTTTGTACTTTCGCTGTTTGCAATAAATCTTGCTGCTGCTCACTGTTTGGGTCCACACTGCCTTTATGAGCTGTAACACTGACTGCGAAGGTCTGCAGTTTCACTCCCGAAGCCAGTGAGACCACAAACCCACCAGGAGGAATGAACAACTCCAGATGCGCCACCTTAAGAGCTGTAACACTCACCGCGAAGGTCTGCAGCTTCACTCTTGAGCCAGCGAGACCACGAACCCACTGGAAGGAAGAAACTCTGAACACATCCGAACATCAGAAGGAACAAACTCTAGACACACCGCCTTTAAGAACTGTAACACTCACCGCGAGGGTCCACGGCTTCATTCCTGAAGTCAGTGAGACCAAGAACCCACCAATTCCAGACACACTGTGACAGTGCAGGCAGCTCCAGGTGCCACCACAGGCACCGGCTCAGGGGCCAGCTCTTTGCAAGACTGTGGCTGGATCAGATGTACTGCAAGCAGCTTCTGTTGTGGGTACCCATGTCTGGGCAAGGGAAATGAGTTGGTGCCCGGAAGCTTGGAGACACCAGGAACTGCACACCCCCAAAGAGGGTGTCACAGCCCTGGCTTGGGGAGCCCCTGGGCGTGGGGTCCCCAAAGGACTGTAGCTCTTCTCTCCTTCTCTCCTTCTGATTGCCTGCAACATGGTGAATGGGGGGTGTGTTTCAGCCCTGTTTGTGTTACAGCTTTTTCAGTCCCATTCAGAAGATCTGGAATTCTTGTCCTTCCTCCAGGAAAAATGCCATTCCTGGACAACTGGAGGGTGAGCACAGCAGAGAGGAGCTTCACTGAGTGATGGAATAGCTCTCAGGAGACTCAAAAGTTAGTAGCTCCTTTCTGCAAGCTGATCATCCTGATGGGTGTGCAGCTCTCAGTGGAGAGGAGGCCCATAGAGGGTAGCTCTTTTCCGCAGGCAGATCATCCCAGTGAGTATTCAGCTCTTGATGGAGAGCTATCCACCTGGCATGGATAGCTGTTTTCTGCAGGCAGATCATCCTGATGAGTGTCCAGCTTTCAGTGGAGAGTAGACCTACAGTGGGTAGTTCCTTTTTGCAGGCAGGTCATCCCAACAAGTGTGAGTCTGGCTGAGTCTGGAGTTTTTATGTGCTCAGAATGGAGACAGTGTGTGCTGATTGATCCATGGGCAGCCACAGGCAGGCCTGGAAAAAGCACCATCCAATTGGCTGAGTGGTCATCAATGAAGATCTCACTCCTGATCATGGACTTTGCCCAGTACTGGCAGCCCAGCCCCCATGCTGGGCCTCTAACATGCCATCTCCAGCATGCAGGGTGTCCATGCCAAGAGGTGCCCTCAACCGCCCTCCCTGCTCCTTACTCCCATCCCACACTCCTCGGCACCCAAAGTCCAGAGGGGGCCAAGATGGCAGGGGGCTGGTATGTCAGCACCACCCTACGTGCGGGCACACCTGGCCAGGTTGTGACAGTGCCCAGGGTTGTCCACAACTTTGCTCCATCCCAAGCAGGCACCGGGAGTTGGGAGAGGGGAGCAGGGCACTTTCAAGCTTGCAGGGGCATGGGGCCTCCTGGGCCCTGAGAGCCCCAGGAATGCAGGGACCTGGAGCCATGGCTGGGCAGCTAAAGCTGCACCCAGGAGTATGGGGCTCCTGCCCTGCCAACTTGGTAGGGGGCAGGGCTCCCACCTGATCCTGCCCCCGCCAGCTCCACAAAACATGCAGCCATTGCTATGCCCTCCCTGCTGCAGCAGGTGTCTCCACAGCAGCTGCTCCAGATGGGCCACCACCACCATCAGTACCTACTGTAGACAGTAAGCTTCTGTGTTAAGATTTTTATGTAATAAGAGTCTCACATTCCTATTATTATTTTTGCATCTCTGTTTTAAGTGCTCAGGTTAGTCCCTTTTGCATGAGGCAAAGAGTGAGCCTCCAATACTTTTATGTCATTTTCACTTAGCTAACTCTCCCATGTTCTATATTTCCCCATTTCACCCTGGCTTCTGATGGGTATTCTTCCCAGCACATGCTTTTGTTTCCCCACTGGATTATAATCCAGAGCCTCTCCTGCTGCCTATAGAATTGTCATCCTTGCTCCACTGATAAGAAAAAAAAAGAAGAACTGAGACTAGGAAGAGAAAGAAAGAATAGCTATGCATATGCTTCCACTACTTCCTTCTTTCCTAAAATATTGTATATATAGAATATCATTACCCTTAGGAGCTTTGGAATGGATTCCTCAACAAGTGAGAAGTATCTGTTATATATATAAAATCAAACAGGTTAAGAGACCTGGAGAGTTGGAGCTACATAAAAACATATTAATCAACCTAAAGTCACTTGCTACTAGCAAGCATTAAAAAAATATATATTTAGGAATAATGAAAAATTGGGCATAAATTGGAATAATTTAGATGTAGTCAAAATAAAAAGTGAAGAGATTAATTATTAAACTGGTGGAGGGAAGCTAATTTTTAGCTTTGAAGAAATTGAGTAAAAAGTCACATAAAAAGTTAGAGATTTAATTCTACAGATTAAACATTTCTAAAAAGAGAAAAAACAAAATTAAAAAGGAGTCAACAAACTGGGAAAAAATATATAAATTTGACTAAGGATTGATTATATAATATGGGTAACTATTCTATCAAGTCTAATTATAAACAATAGAAATAACTCTAGATAATTTCTTTTTTAAACAGAAGAATTTTTTGAATTAAATTATGTGATGCACCTTGTAAAACTAAAGACAAAAAAATCAGTTCTTGGTATGAATGAGAACCAAGGGAAATTTCATGTAAATATGAGAAACTCTAATGGCTGGGCAGACTTTCAGAAAGATATAGGCATCTTGATGTGGCTTTCATCATTTTCTATTTTTGTTTCATTCTTTTCAGGATTCAAGTACCAGGGAGTGTTTAATTGGCCAGGGAGTGGGCACATGTCTGATGCTGTGTAGTCTGCAGCAGAAGAGGGATAATTCCCAAAGGAAAAATCCATGTATAAAAGAGAAAGGACTCTGAGTAGGCAAAAGAAGGAGATGTCCATGATGGGTCTCATTCAGATTTTTAGAAAAACATTCAGAAAAAAAAGGTAATCAATAAATGGACAGAGGACATGAACTGATAATTATAGAAGATGCAACATAAATTAATATAGATAAGGAAAATATTGAGACTTAAAAAAAAAAAGTTAAGCCAAAACAAAGCAAACATGGAAAGTACTAAACAAATAAGCAAAAAAATCAAAGAACTTTTTATTGACCATGAAAGAATAACACTCTTCAAAAGTTAGACAGAATTGCCATGTGATCCAATGACTCTACTTCTCCACATATACCCCAAAGATTGAAAAGTAGAGACTCAAATACTCATATACCAATGTTCATTGCTGCATTATTCATGATAACCCAAAGGTGGAAAAGAACCCAAATAATCATGGATCAATGAATGGATAAACAGAATGTAAATACATACAATGGAGTTTTATTCAGCCTTAAAAAGGAATGAAATTCTGATACATGCTACAACATAGATGAATCTTAAAACCATTTTGCTAGGTGAAATAAACCAGTCACAGAAAGACAAATGTGGTATGATTCCACTTATATGAAGTACCTACAATAGGTTTCATAGAGACAGAAAATAGAATAGAGGTTACCAGGGGTTGAGGAGAAGTGGAAAATGGGGAGACATTATTTAATAGATACAGTGTTTCTGTTTGGGATGATGAAAAACTATGGAAATGGATAGTAGTGATGGTTGCACAATATTATGAATGTACTCAATGCCATGAATTGCACATTTAAAAATTGTTAAAAGGGTAAATTTTATGTTGCATATGTTGTACCACAATGTTTTAAAAAGTGAATGACACTTGCTATACTTGCTGCTTGGGATAAAGCTGTGTTTCACTAATGCATATATACTGAGAGTGACAATGAAAAGTGGAACAATACATTTCAGAAAGCAATATGATAATAATTTTCCTCAGAACCCACAAAATGCTCCTACCTTTTAATTTAGCTATCCTATTTGTAAGGAAATAATCCGAAAGTAGAAAAAGGCTATTTGCATGAATCATAGCAGTATCAAAAGATAATAAAGAAATAGAAAACAAGCCTAAATGTGCAAAATGATGGGAAATTTGTCACACTAACTCAAGGAAATGTTATGCAACCATTAAAAATTATAATGATTGTGTGATAATTTTTATGATATATCAGCAAGTAAAAAGAATTACAAAATGGCGTTATGCTATGATTAATTCAACATTCATGAATGAAAAGTTTTATGGTAAATTAAGAGAATTATTACTAATATTTTCCTTTTAATTTTTTCTTAACTTTTGTCATTTTACCTAAATAATAAAAAGTGATAATGTTTAGCATTAAACAAAATTTAAAGAAACTAAATATTTGAAATGTATTATGCTACATAAGATAGAAAAGTGATATAATCTTAAATACTTCTAGTAGAAATTATATGGGATATTTGAAAATAATCTAATTGCCTATTATCATTTTTATTGTAAAACTAAAGGTACTTAAATGATACGTATACATCAGCTATAAATAATAGAAATCAACTTACAAAAACCTTACTTATAAAACCACACACATTCATTTAGGTCTAGAAGGAGCCTGGAACTTGTATAATGTAGTTATATTATGAAATGCACATTTTACAGAACAATGGAAAGGAAAAATAAATTGTGAGATGACGTGGAAAAAGGTTTTACAGAAGTTATTGGCAAAAGGAAGACAGGATAATAAAATAGAACATCTCAGGGAGGTTCTCAGATGCAAAAATCTTCCAACAAGACATTTCCCATAGAAGTGGCAGAAATGAATATCAGTGTGCTAACAAGCCTTAGTATAATTACATATAGAATCAGAATAATTACATATAATATCAAATATCATTGCCTCTATTTATAAGGGATGTAAAACAGTGGAGAAAATATGTGTAAAGATTTTTTTAAATGAGAAAATAATTTGCAATTAAAAAAAGAAAACTGAGAACAATGGTAGTGACAACTTCACAACCAGAAAATTCTTCATTTGTGTAACACCAATGTTTCTGCTATAGTTGGTATCTTCCCCAGATACAAAAAAATTTCTAAACTCTGTAGCATCAGAAGGGATCTTCGACAACATGTAACACAATTTTATTTTCTAGTTGGGTATGCTAAAGTTTAGAAAAAAGACACACCCAAGAAATATAGCAAGGAAAGACAGAGCCTGTCCATGGGTCTCCCTGACTCTGTGGTTCCCCACCCTGTGTGTGGATTGCCTCATGTTTTTGTGTCTATAGTGGCACCAAAGGATTAGGCTGCAACACTGCCCATGTGTTAGTACATTCTTCATCTAATGCCTCTGCTTTCTCCCAGGTCCTCTTTGTCCATTTATCTCCAAAGATATAAATAACTCCATTCTTTCACTATTAAAGGCTCTCTGTTCCATGGGCACTCCATGCCAATATTACTTAAAGCTTATTATATATTACTATACAGTCACTTAAGACATGGGATTCCTCCCTGTAGTGTTCAGTATATTTCAGAACTGAGATATTAACACATGAAATAAGCAACAATGCAAGAAGATAAACTATCCGGGGCTAAATCAGAGGTCAATATATCACTCTAGATAGACAGAGGAAGAAATCCATATGCACAGGATTTGGAAAAGCTTCATTAAAGAGACAGGACAAGGAAAAATAAAACAGTGTTTGTCAAAGCAGGATCTGAGAATCATCTGCAATTGAACCATTGGGAAAATTGATTTCAACATGTAAAACCAGGAGTCAGTATTTTTAACAAGATCCAGGTGATTTTTGTGCCTGGAAAGGTTTGAGAGCCACTTTCAAGCGGTTGGGAGTTTGTGCATGAACTGCTGCAGGAAGCAGCACGATGTGTTCTGGAACTGTCCATGGAGGCAGAGCCTTCAAATCACACAGTGTGGGAATTAATGTAAAAAGATGCCTCAGCAGGAAGCTACGGGGCAGAACAAACTTTAACTCTATGAACTGAAGAAAATAATCATGCCATTTAACCTTGGGTCACTACTGATATGAAATCAAGTGTGCACAAGATAAAAGAATCCAGGCTAGGTTCTCTGAAATTATGAGTTCAGATGACACAATCAGTGGTGTTTCTTAGACTTAAATAGGGTATTTTTAAAAACTTCTTCAGGCACAACTCTTAGTTCAAATGATTTACTGTTAGAGAAAAAAGACCAAATGATTTAGTAACTAGACTTAGGATTTCCCGTTCTTTTTGCTTTGCAAGGGAGATTTTAAAAAATTATTTTCTCTTTCATCTTACATCTTTGCTTAATAAATTGTATTAATACATCGGGGCATCTAGTGGAAATGATTCTGTTATAGTTTCATTGTAGCAGTTCATCTGAAAAATAATAAATATATAAGTTTGAATCAGTCGCTTTGATAGTGAGGGTCTATGTGGGATCTCTTTTGGGTAAAACCCCTGGCCCACTGCTCCATCCCAGGTAGACTTTCCTATGCCCTCCAGGTTTCAGGGATGTGGCGGATTCCCTCCCTTCTCTCCAGCTGCTCTCACTCTAAAGACTGTACATGTAATTAGGATACAACCTCCTTAGCTTTCTGGTTTTTCTTTGACCCAGAATTGAAGAATCGTATACCCTGTTTATTTTAGAATTTTGCACTAAATACTATATGGAGTAGGGGGCGGGGGATAAAAACAATGAGTGATGAGATGCTGATGAAATGGCAGGAATTCCCTTATCCCCCTCACAGGGCATGTGACAGGGGTGTGGCTCGCTTCTTCCTTCCGTGCCCCAGTGCTCAAACCCCTAGGGGGAACATGAAGACAGGCTGGTCGTGGAGAGTGTTTTTGGGCTACGACCCCACGGCAGCATCTAGGGTTGAGTGTTTACAGCTCCTGAAGCCCCAGTGGGCGTGTGTTACAGTGTGCTCTTTCAGCTTTGCCATCTGCAGGTGGCTTGTGTTAATCAGCTCAATTAGATGCTCTGCCTTATCCTGAGGACAGAGGGCTTTCTGTATCCCAGGTTCTTGCCCTAGTGTACTGGAAAAATTGGGTCACACGTGGGCTTGGAGGATGGGTGCAAGGTTTTATTGAGTGGTGGAGGTAGCTGTCAGTGAGGTGGATGGGGAGCCAGAAGGGGGATGGAGTGGGAAGGTGGTCTTCCCCTGGAGTTGGGCCACCCAGTGGCCAGACTCTCCTCTGATAACCCCTGACTGAATTTCACATCATCCTGCTGTCAATGGCCTGCCTGCCAGTGTCTGCTGGTGTCTGTTGGTGTGCTCTTCTGCTCCTCTCAACATCCAGCTGCTTGTGTGTGTGCCCGCTACAGTCCTGGGTTTTTATGGGCACAGGATGGGGGGTGTGGCAGACCAAAAGGCAACTTTTGGGGTGTGAAAACAGAAATTCCTGTCCTCATTTGGGTCTGTGGGCACAGGCCCGAGGGTGGAGCCCTCGCCAGGGACTCCACCCTTCTCTACCAAGCACTTCCCTACCCCTCTCCCATATCACTGACAGCTTTAAGACCTCTCCAAAAGCTCTCACAATGATTACCTTGTCATATCCTATACTGTATGTGGGGATGCTCTCCTTTTCCTGACATCTTCATGGACTGCATCTTTGCATTATTCTGACGAAGTCTCTGTATGATTATTTTCTGCATTTTTAACACCGTTGGACATAAGGCTAAAATCAAGGCTCTTTCTCCCCTTCTTCACAGGTACAGTTCTCATCCCCGTGGGACTCTCCTTCCAGGTAGATATTCTGAAGATTCAGAGATGGTACAATAGGTGGGAACTCATAGGGCATACTGTTTCCCTATTTCTCTCCTGCAGCCTCCTCACCAACCTTAAGTCTCATGTCCTCCAGGCCTATGTAACAAAGTGTGAATTTGAATTTGGTCACATCTCAACATTGATCACTCATACTTTTGGGTACTATGGAAATTTCTAGTACCTTTGGGCTCATGAGAGACATTTTCATTCTGATCATGAAGAGATGACACTTTTCACTCCAGGGATAATTTCAGTTCCCTTAAATTATGCCTTTCTGTTGTTCTAGTCTCATTTTCTTTACCAAACCTGCCTCCAAGTCTCATCTTGCTCCTGAAATGTTGACCCTATAATAGTTCTGCAGGCTTCCTTCCTTAATAATACAAATAGTTCTAAAACTCTATTCTGGGACTTGAAGAAAGATAAATGGCAAGTACACCCGCAATTATCTTCACCTAGAGTTCTTCCAACTCCCTCTTCAATTATCACCTCACTGTGTGCATTTACCACTCTACTTGTACACAATAAATACAGTCTTATTTCATACAACATAGATTTGGCTGTGTGGCAGGAATATTAATGTTTCTGTTGTCATTCATTAATTGAAAGCCCTATATCTATTTCCTTGGAGCACCTGCGCGGTGCTGCATAAAATGGGAGCAGGCAGCAAAAACTCTTGGTATGAGAGGGGTTTTTGCTGCTGTATGTATTGTGTTTTTCTAACACTGCTACATGTGATTATTAAGTACTGTGTGGGGTTTGTATTTACTTCCTACGTGCCCTTAAATTCTTGAGGGAATTATAATTTTACTAAATACCACCTATATGAAACAAAGAAGCCAAATGGTTCTCTAGAACAGAGCTAGAGAAGAAAGGAGTATAGAAACATATTTTCCTCATTGTAGGTAGGGTACATAGTTTTCCTAAATGATGGCAAATGTTTCCAGAAATCTAGCCAAAAATCAGTTAGATAGGAAATCATATAATAATGGTATAGCAGTTTGGAGCACCAAAAGTTAAAATTTAGGGATAAATATCTAAATGCATGGTAACAAGTTAATTTAGAAATATACAATTAATATGGATTCAAATATGATTAATAAGAATCTCTATATGTATATTTGAGGAAACAACTTGAAATTTTAAAGTATCTTTTATTTTAAAGTCCATAAAATTTTGAAGTTTTACCAGAATACCAAATATTTGTATTGTTAGTTGCTGTCTTAATTGAGGAGACTGTTTCAAAAGTTTTAGATTTCCGTTCTAGTCAAAAATCTCTGGTAGAGATTTTTTTTCTCTACTAGTCCAGTTTTCTTTTTTCATAAAGAGATAAATAATTTCAAATAGTCAAATGATTCAATTTTTGTCTTTACATTTAATGAGGTTTAATAAAGTACTATATTGAAAATCACATAATTTTAAAATTGTGATAGTATACACATAACATAAAATTTACCATCTCAACCATTTTTAAGTATATGGCTCGTTAGTGTTAAGCATAGTTACATTGTTGAGCAACTAATTATCTCCAGAAACTTCTCATCTTGCAAAACTGAAACTCTATAGTCGTTAAACAATCCCTCCCCATTCCTCATGCCCCACCGACAGCCCCTGGCAACTGCCATTCTACTTTCTGTCTCTGAGTTTTATGAGTACTCCTCTAGGTATTTCATGTAAGTGAAATCATTAGTTCAAATAATTGCACTTTCATGAACTATAAACAGTGTATTGAATGATAAATCAAGTCTCATAACCACAGTATAACCAAAATCATAGAAACCTATTTAACAGATCTATGTTGGCATATAAAAATTCTATAAAATAGGAATTTACTTGAATTTTACCTGTTAACTTCTGAAATAGAAGCTTTTTAAAATAAAGTTTTAAAGAAACTTCAAGAAGCTCTAAGAGGAAAATAGAGAAGAGAAATAAAGAAAAATAGTCTTCATTGTGAAAATGACAAGGTAAAACAACCCCCAGGGAAGAAGCAAAATTCTTTGGCATTAAAACACCTTCCGTGGAACATTTGTCTCAAAAGCTGTTTCCTGAAAAGAAAAAAGTTTCTGTAATCATAAAAGTTCTGGAAAGTGCACAACGTATCTCTTTTAAGGAAATTAAAATTATGCATTAGCCTACTAAATATTCTCAGAAGTTCTTAATAATTTTTGTCTATGTTTGACAGAGGTGTTTCCCAAACTTATTTGACCTCTTTATCCTTTTTTTTTCCCCCTCATAAAACCTGAAAACTCTGTGGAGGAAAAAGAATGGCCTCTAAATCATGATACGGCTTCAGCTATATCTCAGCCCTTGAAAAACTGTTTTTAGACTTGGAGTCTTAATTAGACACTCAAACCTCCCTTCTTCATTCCATATTTTCATATTTACTTTTGGATAGAGATTGCTGTATGCTGCATAAATGCTGTCACCAAGACACTCCTTACTGTAAATGTCAAGTTGATTAAACTTTCATTTGAAAGAATAGTAAAGCAAGTCTGACAATACACATTTCACTTAGCTTGGGCTTTGAAACTACTACATAAATCCCAGGGGGCAGATCTATGATCCTCCAGGCTAAAATAATAACTGTTTAGCTATTATGCCTCCACTGTATGTGAGCTATAAGCCCATCTCACACGATAAGAGGAACAAATGTCTCGGCTGCAAACTGCTTTTAAAGTACTAGAATAAGAGCAGCAAAGACAGGTAGATGAGAACATTTCTATGCACATGCCACATTAATATTGCATTGAAAAGCTGAGTCTGTGTGGACTGTATTTAGAGATACAAACAATGGTTCCTGAAAAGACTACATAAAGTAGAAGATGAATTACTGTTACTACACAAAAGCCTCTGAGATTATGCATGCAATCAGAGTAGTAAAGGCTTGGGTAATAACTAGGAAATGACTGATTTTCCACTGGAGACACTTTGTTAATTATTTCAAGGCTCTATAGGCAATTTTAACACCTTGTGAGGCTGTCATTATGATCCATTTACAATAACGGCAATTTCTCTCTGAATATTTGACAGTGCATAAATTAACTCCTTCCTTATGATATATGTTTTCCACAATTATGTCTGGATATTTGAATGCATGTCTTACCTCTTTTACTAAAGTTAAGCTCCTTGAAGGCAGCAGTGATATGTAAATCAGTTTGGTATGGCCTTCAGAAACGGGCCCAGTATTTAGTACAATTTTAATACATTTTGAGGAATTAAATTCTGTAACTAGCCCTTTTCAGTATTTTTTAGTGTCAATATTTTTCATAGAAAGAACTATTTGCCCACTGACTATCACTGAAGAAGTTTCAGAAGGCTAAATTCTTCTCTTATTTTAAAAAAGTGATGATATGCACAAATTAAGGGCTCAATACATATTTGGTATGTATTTTGATTTGATCTGATTCCTTAAAGAAAATAAAATATTAAAATGTGAACTTATCCACTGCAAAGTAAAAAAAAAAAAAGACAGGAAAAGGAGAGCGACACGTTCGGGTAAAATGTTCTTATTAATTAAATATTAGACTTAGAATGTTGTTTGCATTACTAATCATCAGCGCTCTCATAAAGTCAAAGTTTTATTCTTTCTTACTATTCAGATGTTTTACTCTCCAGTCATGCTTCACTATCCAGTTACAGTAGCTCTTCTGTGAGTACTCAGTAATAAACTCTGCCATGTTAAGTACTGCTGCTATGGACAAGAGATTTCTCCTGTCTGCCCAGCACAGTGCCTGACACAGGGCAAGCACTCCAGAATTGTTAGTTTAATGAACGACTGAAAAAATAACAGCTCACATTTGTATAGCATGTTTAATGTTGGAACATTTTTGCCACACACATTATTTACTTTTATTTAATTTGTTCATTTTCTCATTCAGCAAATATTACTGGAATATAAAGCAATTGCCAGACAGGAGGTATTAATCATTCAAAGAAAATTAGTCATAGTTCTTGCAACTCAAAGAACACAAAAATCCACTGGGGGAAATATCAAAGCCAAGGGAAATTAGAATTTTTGAGAAAAGTGTCAAAAATTTGTTATGCATTAACAAATATTAGAAATAGCAGTGATTGTAAAATTATTGTACGTTCATTACAATAATTATAAAAATATAAAAGTTATAAATTGCAAATTGTAAACGTTTTTGTAAAATTACTGTTGGCTGACCAAGTTCCCCAGAGGTTGAGTGACTTGCCTAGAGTCACATAACTAAAAGAGAGACAGTTAAGACTGTATCTTGAGCCTTTCTCTTGTAGGATGGAGTTTACTTTGTTGCTCCACATTGAACAAGTGTGAAGGCTGCTCTCTTTGTGCTTCAGGAAACTTAAGGTTGGAGGTGAGCTCAGACTTGAGAGAGTTTTGAGACACAAAGTGACAGACAATTCATAGAGGGAATACCAACAATGAAAAGAAAAAACAAAAAAGGACTTGGAATTAAAGAATTAAGCAAAAACTCTGAGGAAGTGGTTTCCTTGATTGCAGTGGAGGAAAAGAGTGAGGACATTAGGGTAAGAGGTCAGGGGTGGCCTGGAGGCTGACACAGTCTCCTGCATACTAAAGTAAATGATTCAAGTGTGTGTGTTTTGGGGGAGGGGAAAGGGTCAGGGAATAAAATTGTAAATTGTAGCAATAGCAGAGAAATACAATTTTGTCCCAGCTTCCCTTGGACAATATTTATGGTTGTGAAGAGAGACCTTTCTGTAAGATATCTTTCCTACTTCCTGACTTCTAGTCAAACCCAATTCAAATCAGAATACGAGGAAACTACTGAAGATATGAATCTGAAACTCCTGACAGGCTGTAAAAACAGATCTTGAGTATGTTCAACTGCCCATCAGTTATTTGTGGGTTCCTATATCAGAAAACCCTCCCTGTAAAGCAGAAAGCATTTATCCTCCACTCCTACAGCTTGTTTAATAAACTTTAAAATACTTTGTGACATAAAATATATGTGAACAATAAACATCAATTAAAATACTTAGCATTTTCAGCTTACTTTCCTTTCTCTCTACCCATTCCACAATGGAGAATGTAATAAACACAACAGCTTAAAAACTTTCTAATTTATATTATTTCTCAGGCCTCACTGATGTACAGAGTTGAACTGACATTTATGTTGTATAACTAAGTTTATGCTGAGTAAATTTGTTTTTGCTTGGTTTTGAAAGTGACCATAGTACATAACACCATAGTGTAGGGTATTTTGTTTTGCATTAAATGAATATAAATTATTTTCCTCTTTACATATGTATTAAAATAAAAATTAAAAATACTCAAAATTCTTCATGTGAATAGAATATATATAGGGCATTAGAAGTGTGGGTTCTTGTGCTGAATGTATTCAAAATGTATGTGTCACGCTTTGCATAATTTAAAAGCAAAACAGAAAAAAAACCAAAATGAAACAAGGTAGTATAATATAATTTGAAGCTTAGAATGTATAGAAGCCACAGTGAAAATCTCTGAACTTCTGGGAAATCCTAATATCTAAACATATTTTAATGCTTATCTTGAAAGTGATTTTTTTGACTGTAGATCTGAACTGAGCTAGATTGAGAGTGGATTCTAATGTGGCCCATTTATGAAAATAAGCCATATGCTGCTGCATGGTAGAATCTACTTAACTCAAAGAAAATTAAAGTTAAAATAATGTTGATTAAATATTAAAGTAAAAATGATTTTGCTTACTCAACACAAAATGAATTGGGAACCTGAAAAATTTCAGTGGATCGTAAATATGATGAAAATGTTTAATTAACACATTTACTCTTTTTTTTTTTTTTTTTGAGATGGAATCTTACTCTGTCGCTCAGGCTGGAGTGCAGTGGTGCGATCTCAACTCACTGCAACCTCCGCCTCCCGGGTTCAAGTGATTCTCCTGCCTCAGCCTCCCGATTAACTGGAACTACAGGCATGTGCCACCAGGTCCAGCTGATTTTTGTGTTTTTAGTAGAGACAGGGTTTCACCATGTGATCCGCCCGCCTCGGCCTTTCAAAGTGCTGGGATTACAGGCATGAGCCACCACGCCTGGCTAACACACTCTCATTAAATGAGTTTGGTTATGAAAATTTTTCTTTACCTTAGGCCATTAAGTCCTATCTACCAATTCAAGGGTGAATCCGCCCATTGATTGGACGAATTTTTCAAGATTAAAAAAGCCACTTTCTCTCGATGAACAAATGCTTACTGTGAAACAGCCTTTGCAAAATTATGACAGTAAGAGAAATCTGACATGGCTGACTCTATCTCGCCTCCAGCCTCACAGGTTGGCTGTCTGCTTATTCTTGGGCGTGCGCCAAGCTAACTTTGGGAGAAATTTAGTTTATAGTTTAAATAATAATCACCCTTCCCCAAAACTAAGCTGTTCTTGTAAAACTAATGAAAGGCCACCAAGTTAGGAAGATGAGAGGGGCTTGAATTCTGAATAATTACCAGCCATTATTCTGGAGGTCATAAGATTTGCAACTTTCCCAGTTAAACTCTTGGAGATAACATTACTATCACAGAACCTAAGATTGGTCTTTCAGACACCTTTTCAGGTTTTTGCATTTCTGACAAACGATGGCTCCACCAGGACCTGCCACCCGGTACTGTGGCCCCCACGCAAGAACTGACTCAGCACAAGTGGACAACTTCGATTCCCTATGATTTCACCTCTGACCCAACCAATCAGCATGCCCCCTACCCTATCCCCCTGCCCACCAAATTATCTTTGAAAAACCCCTAACCTCCAAGCCTTTGAGGAAATTGATTTGAGTAATAACTCAGTCTCCCACCTCACATCAATTAAACTCTTTCTTTACTTAATGCCATGGTCTCAGTGAGTTGATTTTATGTACAGTAGACAGGAAGAACCCATCAGGCAGTTACAACTGCATTGCCATAGTCAAATTCATATGATCAATTTCTTGCCAAATCAAGAAACAGACACATATGAGATGAAGCCCTGAGATAACTATTTAAAAACCCACCCTGGCCTTGGAGTCTAGGCCTGCTCTACTCTTCTTTCAGCAAAGAAATATGCTTAAAACTTGTCCATAAAATTTGAGAAAAATATTCTGACTCTTGTATTCTGTTCCAGCTACTGCGATATTATTCTCCTTTTCACTCTGTACTAGTTGCCAGGGCTGCTGTAACAAAATACTGCAGACTGTGTGGCTAAAAAAACAGTAATTTATTTTCTCATAATTCTGGAGGCTAGAAGTCCAAGGTCAAGGTGCTGGCAGGTTTGGTTTCCTCTGAGGCCTCTTTCCTCGTATGTTTACATATGTGTTAACAAATAAATTTGTAGATGTCTGCTTTGCAGATGTCTGTGTTCTTGCTGTGTCTTCACATGATCGTCCCTCTGTCTATGTCTGTGTCCTAACCCCCTCTTCTTATAAGGACACAGGTCATACTGAATTAGGGTCCACCTCAATGACCTCGTTTAGACCTAATTACATCTTTAAAGACCCTATCTACAAATACAGTCACATTCCGAGGTACTAAGGGTTAGGATTTCAACATATGAATGGGGGATTGGGGCACAACTCAGCCCATAACACACTCAGTTATAAGCATTTTTCAAGATTCCTCTTGCAGGCATAGGTGTGGGCTGCTGCAGAGGTGTCAGGACCACCATGGTGAATGTCATAGTCTCCGTTTGTGCAGCTTACTAATGTCCTGTGCCCCGCTAGTGCCCAATTACAGATGTACCACTTTCATCCAACAGTGATGCTACTGAGCCTACCAGACCTATGAACAGGGATTACTGTAAACTTCATTTGGCATCTTTTCCCACTGCAGATACTTATAGTACCTAAAGGTCTGCCAAATTACATGGCTGAAGCAGCAGGGCTGTGTCTTGGGTTGGCTTGCTTTGGGCCCCATTTGGAGCCAGTAGCCTTTCATGTCACTTGGTAATTAGGTCAAGACAGTATTCTTAAGTTCTAAATATGTTGCCCCCAGAACTGATGAAGACTGCCAAGAGCTGTGTATCTTTCTTGATCATAGGAAGGAAAAGATGCAATAACTTTTTCTTTACTTTGGAGTAGATATTCTGGCATGGCCCAGATCACTACACTCCTAAAACTTCCCTGACAGGCCCTTGAAACTTTGTAAGGTTTATTTCCCAAGGCATGGGAAGGAGTATCACTATCTTCCAAAAAGGAACCACTTCTGCAAGCCCAGTGGGTCCAGAGTAGTCTGGCATTTCAAGATCTCAAATGCATTTACCCAGATAGCCCCAGATTTCAGGGTGGCAGTCCTGCCTCATTAGGGCCTTGGCTTTGGCATGGGAGATTTGCTGAGGCTAAGATTTCAACTTGCTCTGAAACTTTGCTAATCTAATTCATTCCTGGCTTTAGTCTTCCTCTAGATTTGCTCTCTAGATATAGGAGATTAGGGTTTATTAAGGAGGCCCTCTGGTTTTCATAATTTGCTTTGAATTGATGATTAATCACACTGATCCTGTCATGAACTATCTTTGACAAATCAATAGCAGTTAGCAACAGCCACCCAATGCCAGTCTTTTAGTTACAATTTCATCCTTATCTCTCAAGCACCAGCAATGTTGCTTCATCCAATACATATTTTCTATGAGCACCCATCTCAGTTCACCATTGGTGAAAATTCTAACAACTGCACCTTTACAGCATGTCAGAGTTCTGTCTACCACAAGTGATGAGGTCCTGCTTGCCAGCTGATGTGTGAATAATCCATCTTTAAATTCCTATTTTACAGTCTACTTTCTAGGGCCACTGCCAGGACCAATTACCTTAGGTTTGGAAACAGACACTAAGAGAGTTGTGTGCAGGCTCATTGGGAAATGTTCTTGGGAGAAACATGTGTAGGGAAGAGAGGAAGGTACATTGGGCATAGAGAAAAACTGGCCTGCAATGCAGTTGTTCCTGAGGTCTCAGCCAATCCTTCAGAAACCTTGGGAACTATGATGGGTGTCAAGTTGAAACATATAAGACAGGGCCAAAGGCCAAAAGCTGATAATGCTGCTGGTAAAGATTCAATGAGCCACTTAGATTTAGACTCTTTATTACCTACATAGATAACAAAAAGAAGAATAAGCCCAAGGTTCCAGTCCCCACAGCCCTTGTCCCACACATCACAAAGGATGGCACTGAAATGAAAGTGGCTGGATGACTGACACATGAATTGTGGGATACCCAGTTGCTGAGAAACCAATTCTAGATTGCAGAAAAGTGGCTTTATCACCTGCAGCCCTGCTTTGGGGTGAATGGGGTAGAAAGTCCCACACTCCATCAGAACCTAGGAGGCAATAAGCAACCAACTCAAAACAGTCTCCCGAGGGAACTAGGGAGGCAAGTGGGAGATGGCCTCATAGTAGCTCCTTACAGGCCTCCCACCCTCTCTTGTTCTGGGAGGATCACAAGGCATTTCTCCAAGACTCAGATATGCTATGGTTCAAGCCTTCACTATATGGATACATAAAAAGTAATCAGGATGCCATGGCACAGCCATTCTCATATAGATAGCCCTTCAGAGTTGTCTCAAATTGAGGGGAGAGGGTCAGGGCTTTATCTCTCCGCATCAGCCACCCCCTGCTTGGGGCCGTATCCTTGGGAGAAGCAATTCCATATCACAGCTTGAGCCATCAGCCACCCATATTCCCAGCAGCTGGGGGATGGTGCCTAGGACGTAAAGAGCAGAGCTAGACAGAGATCCACAGTATCCTATCAATGTTATATTATTTCGAGTCAAACTGCATTTATGATTGTATTAAGATGTTTTCAGAGACAAGAAAGAGAAAACCTGATCTACAGGCTTAAATGATGAGGACATTTATGAAAGTGAAAAAAAAAATGTCCAGGAGGGTAGCCCCAGGATTAGTGTGGTGGTTCAATGAAGTCATTAAAGGCCCAGGCTCTTTCCATTTTTTCATTATATTGTTATGAGATGTTAGCTTTCATTCTCAGATTTGTAACTTCATGGTCACAAGGTAGCTGCTTCACCTCCATAAATCAAGTCCTTGCCTAATTTTGTTTAAAACAGAAAGTGAGGGAGGGAAGTAAAAGAGGGAAAGGAAAGTCTTTCCTAGAAGCCCCCAGCAGACTTCCCTTATGATATATTCACCAAAACTGGGTCATATGACCGTCCCTGAACAACCACTGGAGAAGGGAAGCACCTTGGACCAATCATGATTACCTTCCTAGAGCTTAGTACGTTGCCATTTACCTCAAATCAAATTCTATTAGCAAAGGAGGAAGAAGAAAGTGTTTGGCTATAGGGTGTACTAACCACCTGTATCTGCCACGTTTATTGCCAAAAAGAGTCATCAAAAGTGCTTAGTGCTCTGAAGGTAATGCAAATAATGACCCCTATTTTCCTGCCTCCTGCTCAAAAACTTTCAGGGCCTCTTGAAAGGGCTCGTATTTGCATCTGAAGGCATAGTAGAACCAATAAGATGTAGAAAAGAAAGACATGTCTGTAGGTTAAAGAAAAGGAATAAAGCAAAAATACCCAACTAAAACAACATGAATAGTTCCCCTCTCTTCATGTACTCATGTACCCATAGGTATATGGGCACACAAGTACACAACACATATATACTTAATTTCTAGAAGAAGCACATAACTGCATTGTAGATGTCTCTATTGTTAAAAATAAAGATGCAGAGATTCACAAATGAAATTTCATTTAAAATGAGAGAAAATAACTCTGAAAGGAGCTTTAGTGGTAAACTCAGCAAACTGAAGTGCCGTTGAATAGTGCTCCAACTGGATATTGGAGAACTCAACAATTGGACAAACACAATTTTGATAGTAATTATTGAGATGCATGAACTTTAGTTGTTATCTTCTGAATATTAGAAACATAGGAGATGACACTACGAAAAGCACACACCAAACTTTAACTACAGTCATAATAAATAATACTAAAGACAACACAAAAGAAGCAATAAAAGCTTTATATACTAAACTCCAAGAGTTAGTGAGGTCTGGATAAACTTCATTTTCTTTTCCCTGTTTCAAAATTCACCCTGATACTCTTTGCCTTCAGAAAGTCCCATTGAATGAGCTTCTGAAAATAGCACTTATTTGGCAACTTGACCGTAAGTATAGGGTACAGTAAAGATGGAGTAGTGAATCCCCAAAGACCACTTCCAGGTTTGGTGATTGGCTGGAAGAATTCAAGGGACTCAGCATACAGTTGTACTCATGGCTATAACTTATTACCAAAAATGATATGAAGCAAAATCAGCAAAGGGAAAAAGGCATATGAGTGAAATCTGGAGGAAGCCAGGCACAAGCTTCCAAAAGTCCTTTCCCAGTGGAGATGCACAGGACATGCTTAATTCTTCCAGCAACAAGATAAAACAACACATGGGAAATGTTGTCTATCAGAGAAGCTCATTAGAGACTTAATGCCCAATGTTTGTATTGGACACTGGTCATTTAGGCACCCTCTGCCTCGCACATACCAAAATTCCAGACTCCCAGAAAGCAGCAGGTGTTCTGCATAAATGACATTGTTTGTACAAGCAATTGAGCCTCATTAAAACACCCTTATCTGTGAGGGAGTTATGGAAACACTCTCAAAATACAAGTCCCCAGCTGCCAGCCAAGGGCCAACCTTGCAAGTAGGCCTTTATAAGGAGAGCAGTCTTGGGCCTGCTGTGTTAACTGCACAGATGCAAAAGCAGAGGGTCTGCTTCCTAGAGGCTGACTGGCTGGCTGACTCACTGCTGTTCCTCCTCTGAATTTACCACACTACAGAGAAATCACATGTAAGGGACCTCAGCTGGCTCCTTTAGAACATGTCATTGGCTTGCCATATTGTCCCAATATTTAGCATTTTATCTAGCATCTATTTTGTTGAATCAATAACTAAATGCTGCTCTCCTTTCTTCCCCTGCCCCTTTGCCCTACAGAAACAGTACCAGAGCTTTCCCAAGAAAACCATAGTGACCCTCACAAAAAATTAATAGTGTATCAACCAAATAAAACATATAGTGGGATTGTAAAGCTACAGGGCTGCTCTTCTGGCATGTCTGGTAAGTTGACTCTTGAGTCATTTCCTACAGAGGACCTTCCATCCTGGTCTGAGCAATGGCCCCATTCCTGGTATTAGGCCAGAAGTGGATTGAGTGGCCCAAAGGAGGAGCCCTCATCTGGCTACTCCATTAAATTCTGGCTGCTTAGATTCTAATGCTTGCCTGAAAAGTCTATCCCATTACTTGATCATTATACTTATCCCAATTTCCACTTTGAGCTAAGTAGGACGTGAACAATGTGTCTTTTTATGTGATAAAAAGAAAATATTTTCCTGTTTTAATACCTGGATTCTTTGAGAAAAAATGAGTATGAATTCAGTTAACCCTAAAGTCACTTGCATTAAAAAATTTTTTTATTTTTGTTTTTAGAGTTCATTTCCTTGTTTGAAAGGGAATGTTTTCTGTTGTTCTGTCAAAGGCCTTTGACTGAAGCAGGCCCACGAAGTAACTCTTCCTTCCCTTTATTCCCTTGGGTGTTCCAGGATTTCTCTTTGGGTGACCCCGTAGTATGCCACCAGAGCTTCATGCATGACTTTTCCAAATGCTACCACTGGAATTTGACAGCAGGAAGTGGTCCCTAGAATTTATTAGTATAAAGAGCTTCCAATTATTCATGTCCTCTTTAGTCAAAACAGTAAATATTTCACTTGGCACCAATTTTATTTTATTTCCTTTCTGAAATACGTAGTGAAGACAGAAGCAACAGCAGGAATGGGCTCATTTGGTGTAAGAGACCTCAGGAACTTTCTGTGCTTCAGTAGCTCAGGCTTGCATTTATGTTTCTAATTCTCCACTTCTCTTTCCATCGACAACATTGTTTGTTAAAATAACAAAGGATCCCCTAAGTCTTGCTATCTTATATTATCTTAAAATAAATGAGCAAGAGTCTTTCATTATTTCATAGTTTTCTTAAACCAGTATCCTTGAGAAATAGCAAATGTAAGCAGGCAGTCATACAGATCAGCAATAGTTTGTGCAGATCTGAAAGAAAGAAGCTGCCCTGGGAAGTAGAGAACCGGGTGATCTTTGTCATTGAGCACACCATTACCTGTTTATTCTCCCTTCATACATTTTGATGGCACTGTCCTCCTTTTCTCTCCCACCCTTTCCTAAAGAAAAAAGCTGAACCATTCCCCCATCTGGATGCTGATCAAAACATGCTGTGTATTGCCTTTTGTTCTCACCTTGATGCTTTTTTCTGCCAACTGAATCAACTCTGACCTGATTTGAGTAATTTAATCTTTACTCCATCTCTTGACTATTTGAAGAGCTCCTTAACTGTTCTTTCTTTCTATCCTCCAAGCCAGTTCTAATAATATTGTTACCTACACAATATTATTATTTACTGGCTTCCCACTGCCCTCAGAATAGGCCCAAGCACCTTAGTCTGGCATTCCCAGCTGTAAACAGTTGAGTGCCATGCCTCATTTCACTTATTTATGTTTGTATTAGTTCATTTTCACGCTGCTGATAAAGACATACCCAAAAGTAGAAACAAAAGAGATTTAATTGAACTTACAGTTCCACATGGCTGGGGAGGCCTCAGAATCATGGAGGGAGGTGAAAGGCACTTCTTACATGGTGGCAGTAAGAGAAAAATGAGGAAGAAGCAAAAGTAGAAACCCCTGATAAACCCATCAGATCTCATGAGGCTTATTCAATATCATGAGAATAGCATGGGAAAGATCAGCCCCCATGATGCAATTACCTCCCACTGGGTCCCTCCCACAACACGTGGGAATTCTGGGAGATACAATTCAAGTTGAGATTTGGGTGAGGACATAGCCAAACCATATCAATGTTTTATTTGTTTCTTTATTTAATTCTCATCTCGATCTTGATTGGTTCATTTATTGGCATATTCATTTATTCAACATTTCTTGAATCATCTGTTTTGTTTACTAAACCCAGTAGATTAAAAAATAAAAAAGAAAGAAAAAAGACATCTTTCTTGTCACCAAAAGATTTATAGTCAAGTTAGGGAGACAATTAAAGTGGAGTTTAATAAGTTTAGTAGGGGCTATGATGAGATGTGTACACAATACTATGCACTGAAGAATTAGCAGATAATTCAATTCCCTTGGTCTTTGTAGGTTATAAAAAGACAAAACTTTTCTGTTTTATACCTGGACTTCTTGAGGCAATTGGGCATAAATTCAGCTACTGCTAAAGTCAATTGCATTTAAAAAAATTGTTTTAAGGTTTATTTTCTTGTTTTAAGCAGAACTCCATGTTTGCTCTTGTTCTATCACAAAACTTATCAGGCACCTACAGTAATGCAAGCAATGGGCAAACACATAAAATATCAAATCAAAAAAGAAAATCACAGCAAGTTTCTCAGAGATGCTATTGCTTCAACAATTGGCCGGGTCATTAAGGACTCCCTGAGCACCCAAGCCCTCTGCTAGCTGCCATCAAAATGCCCTTGGCAGAATGCATGGCATACCTTCTGCTCACTCCATTTCCTCGCCTGGAATACTTTCGTATGTAAACCCCTTCTCCTCATTTTTTGTGGCCTAACCTAATTGTACGTCTTCACCTGCTGTGAGATTTTTCCAGGATTCCTGCTCTCACCTTTCCAAAGCCCTACAGCACATTGTGCTTTTCTCATGGGGCAACTTTTCAGTTATTTTAAATGAATATTTAAGGTAATGAAAAATAATTTAAATTACATAGATGTATGTATAATGAAGAGTGAAAGACCATCTTTATCCCAACTCTACTCCTATTTCTGTCTCCAGAAGCAAGTCCTGTCAACAATTTTGTGTGTGTTCACCCAGAGCTTTCTTTGGGCATTTGCACACATGCATGCATGTGTACACACACATATAATAGAAGTTTTTTTTTTAAATAAGTGAAATCATACTCTACATTGTTTTGGAATTATCTATGAGATTATACTTGGACAAACATTCATGTCAGTACATAAATGTGTAGTTTGTTGTTTTCAATGTAATATTTAGATGGACATTTGTTTTCTGACATTCTATTGTTAAAAAAACCTGCTATGCACATTTAAATATATCCTCATGTATGTATGTGACCATTTCTATGGATAAATTTATAAATGGAAAATTTCTAAATCAATGAATATACATATTTTAAATGTTGGTAGATATTGCCAAATTGTCCTCCAAACAGGCTATTCCCATTTAGGCTCCCACAGAGTCTTCAGACCCTCAAATAGTGGCACTTTGCACATGTTTGACCTTCCTTAGTAGATGCTAGGAAACATAATCTTGAGGCAGGAACTACATCTTTTATATGTTAGCGTCCCTGGTGATTTCTAGCATAGAGCAGTGCTTGGCACGTAACAAACATGTTCGATAAGTATTTGTGGAAACAAAATGAACTGTGTAGATGTAAAACACCAGGCTCTTTCTGGAGGCAAAGAAAGCATCATTTGGTTTTGTGGAAGATCTCTGATCTGGCCCCTGTAGATTGGAATCCTATTTCTAGTACCTGACTAAGTACATAGTTATATTAATGGCACAATCTAGTTAGATGCCATCTTACAATGAAGATTTTAAATAAGATACTTTGAGGAGTTAGTAGGAAGTTCTAAGAGTAAAGGCCCTAGACTGGGGCTAAGGAATAAATCATATTAAAAGGCCTGGAGCTCCAGGGTCTCCTCTTGGCACCGTAAGAATGTGGCCAGTAATCCTCAATGCATACGAGGAATGTGGAGGTACAGGAACCTACCAATGGAGCCCAAAAGCCCGAACAGGAAATAGCACTTGCACCTAATTGCTTCAAAGTACAACTTTTGTGCACTTTAAATTGGAAGGTCTGGGTTACAACCCCAGTTCCATGACCTTTAGCACTCTACATACTTTTTATGAAAGTTGCTTTGCTCTTTTGTAAAATGGAAAGAACAATCCTACTGGGCTATTGTGAGAACTAAGAATGAGCAGGTGAAAGGAGCTAGCACAATGTCTGGTACAAAGTAAAAGCCATTTCGCACTGAGCAGGGCACAAAAGAGGACTGCCTCAGCTGATTTAGCACAGACTCACTTAGGAACATCATCTTTAAAGCCTACTTGGGCTGGTTGGCTTGTCCATTTTATGTGTGAGTTTCAAAGGCACCTTCTCAGAAAAACATATCAAGAAACCCAGATGTAATTATTTTTTTACTTCTGTTTTTATAGTTATTAATTTTCTTTTTCGACAGTTAAGATAAACTTCAGTTCTTAACACATAAATCTCATATGGATGTTGTCTTAGTCTATTCTGGCTACTGTAACAAAATACCATAAACTGGGTAGCTTATAAAAAACATAAATTTGTTCTTTTGGCTTAGGATTGACTTGGTGATGCAGGCTCTATTTTGGTTCCATATGAACTTTAAAGTAGTTTTTTCCAATTTTATGAAGAAAGTCATTGGTAGCTTGATGGGGATGGCATTGAATCTGTAAATTAAAGCTGGAGGCATCACACTACCTGACTTCAAACTATACTACAAGGCTACAGTAACCAAAACAGCATGGTACTGGTATCAAAATAGAGATATAGATCAATGGAACAGAACAGAGCCCTCAGAAATAATGCCACATATCTACAACTATCTGATCTTTGACAAACCTGAGAAAAACAAGCAATGGGGAAAGGATTCCCTATTTAATAAATGGTGCTGGGAAAACTGGCTAGCCATATGTAGAAAGCTGAAACTGGATCCCTTCCTTACACCTTATACAAAAATCAATTCAAGATGGATTAAAGACTTACATGTTAGACCTAAAACCATAAAAACCCTAGAAGAAAACCTAGGCATTAGCATTCAGGACATAGGCATGGGCAAGGACTTCAGGTCTAAAACACCAAAAGCAATGGCAACAAAAGACAAAATTGACAAATGGGATCTCATTAAACTCAAGAGCTTCTGCACAGCAAAAGAAACTACCATCAGAGTGAACAGGCAACCTACAAAATGGGAGAAAATTTTCGCAACCTACTCATCTGACAAAGGGCTAATATCCAGAATCTACAATGAACTCAAACAAATTTACAAGAAAAAAACAAACAACCCCATCAAAAAGTGGGCGAAGGACATGAATAGACACTTCTCAAAAGAAGACATTTATGCAGCCAAAAAGCACATGAAAAAATGCTCATTATCACTGGCCATCAGAGAAATGCAAATCAAAACCATAATGAGATACCATCTCACACCAGTTAGAATAGCAATCATTAAAAAGTCAGGGAACAACAGGTGCTGGACAGGATGTGGAGAAAGAGGAACACTTTTACACTGTTGGTGGGACTGTAAACTAGTTCAACCATTGTGGAAGTCAGTGTGGTGATTCCTCAGGGATCTAGAACTAGAAATACCATTTGACCCAGCCATCCCATTATTGGGTATATACCCAAAGGACTATAAATCATGTTTCTATAAAGACACATGCACACGTATGTTTATTGTGGCATTATTCACAATAGCAAAGACTTGGAACCAACCCAAATGTCCAACAATGATAGACTGGATTAAGAAAATGTGGCACATATACACCATGGAATACTATGCAGCCATAAAAAATGATGAGTTCATGTCCTTTGTAGGGACATGGATGAAATTGGAAATCATCATTCTCAGTAAACTATCACAAGAACAAAAAACCAAACACCACATATTCTCACTCATAGGTGGGAATTGAACAATGAGATCACATGGACACAGGAAGGGGAATATCACACTCCTGGGACTGTTGTGGGTTGGGGGAAGTGGGGAGGGATAGCATTGGGAGATATAACTAATGCTAGATGACGAGTTAGTGGGTGCAGCGCACCAGCATGGCACATGTATACATATGTAACTAACCTGCAGAATGTGCACATGTACCCTAAAACTTAAAGTAAAATAAAAAAATAAAAATAAAAAAATAAATCCAAAAATAAAAATAAAAACAAAAAAAACAAAAAACACATAAATTTATTTCTCATAGTTCTGAAACTGGAAGTGTAAGAGCAAGGTGTTGGCAGGTTTAGTGTCCATTGAGGGCCCACTTTCTGATACATAGATGGTGCCTTCTAGCTGTATTCTCACATGATGGAAGGGGCAAGGCAGCTCTCTGGGGCCTCTTTTATATAGGCACTAATCCCATTCATGAGGGCTCCACCCTCATGACCTAATCACCTCGTCATGGCCCTTTTCTTAATACCATCACACTAGATATTAGGATTTCAATGTAAGAATTTTGGTGGGACACAAACATTCAGACCATAGCAGATGGCATGACCACAACAATGTGAAGGGACAGATGCAGGGATTGGGCTGAATGTAATATGCCTCTGTGTTCTAGAATGGGGAGGGTGATAACAAATCAGAGATTCTGTGACCATAAATCATTTCTATGCCTTCAGGAAGAACAGCAGGAAGCACTGTGAGCTGCTTGGGCTCCTGAGCTAAGGAATGAGCTAAGGATTCATTCCCACAGAATCTAAACTGGCAGAGTGGAGACAACCAAAGCAAAGAATAGTTGAATGTCACCAAAACATTAAGAAAATCTCCCATGATATCTTCTTTTTCTCGTCTCACCTTTGTTTGTTTTATTCCTTTCATCTTTCCTTTTCATTTCCACTTCCCACAGTCTCTGTCATCTTTCAGGGCCTAGTGCCAAGCCTTCTTATATACTTCCTAACATTCTTCCTGGGTGGCATTTTTCATATTATGGTTTCCTTTCAATTTGTCTGTTTCCCTCCATAGCCCATTAGTATCTCAATGGTATTGTTTTCACATTTCAACTTCTTTCTCCCATGCCCTGAGCTTTAGTACAACGCCTTGTACTAAATAGTTTTCCAGTAACACTTTTTAAATAATAGATAAATGCAAAGAAAGAGAAATGCAGGCATGGTAATAGTGGGTGGATTTGTGGCCAGGAAAATGACTGTCTCAAAGACTGCTGAAGATGTTCAAGGCACAGTTCTTTCACTGCGCACTCTTTCGCTGAGCAATTCTCAGAAGTCAAAACATAAATTATCTTATAAATAGAGAATAAACATGTGTCAAGGGTTTTATTCAACTCAGTCACTAATGATGGAACCAGCAAAATGCTACAGCTGATTCTAAGAATATTTAAGGCACTGGGGTTTATGTAGTCCTTTTAATAAAAGAAAGTTAGCTTAAGATTGCAATTTGGGTATAAAACTGGTTAATGTTCTCATTAGCTTTAACCTTTGGGATTTTCTTTTCTACAGGATAGAAATCATTTGCATCTCCACCAAATACAAATGTACAAGTGAAGGGAATGTCACAGAATCAAAGCCCTTAATTAATAGTAAAAAGCAAAGTTAAACAATGGTATATTTTCCTAGAAAATTAAATAATTCATGAGTAGGCCTGACAATTATTCATGATGACATTGAAAGGACATGTAGTCATTCTCTTGGCCTTATTTGCAGATTGTGGATAGTTTTTCTTTCCCAATTTTCAGCTCTTTTTACTCTATGCTTTCTCACTGGACCAATTTTCTCCATACCTAATGCTTGGCAATGATTCTCAAATTTATAACTTCAGTCCAGACCTTTCTTCTCAGCTCTAAACTTGCATATTACATCCCCTAAAGATGTAGTTTGGCTCTGCGTTTTTGCCAAAATCTCATGTCAAGTTGTAATTCCCAGTGTTGGAGGAGGAGCCTGGTGGGAGGTGATTGAATCATAGGGGCAGACTTCCTCCTTGCTGTTCTCGTGATAGAGTTCTCATGAGATCAGGTTGTTTCAAAGCGTGTAGCAGCTCCCACTTCTCTCTCTCTCTCTCCCGCCAGCCATGTGAAGATGTGCCTGCTTCCCCTTTGCCTTCCGCCATGATTGTAAGTTTCCTGAGGCTTCCCTAGAAGTAGAAGCTTGTACAAGCCACAGAACTGTGAACTAATTAAAAACCTCTTTTCTTTATAATTTACCCAGTTTCAGATATGTCTTTATAGCCATGTGAGAACAGACTAATACACCTACTGACCAGCAATGCAACTGTGGGGAGATCATTTCACTTCTCTGTGCCTTTGTTTCCTCCTCTATAAAATGGGATTAATAATAATACCTACCACATGGAGTTAAAGAGTAAATGAATTCATATATACAAAGTGCTTTGAACAGCATCTGACACATAAGGGTTTGCTGTTACTATTAATTCTCAAAATCTTTATTTAGATGTTTCAATGGTACTTAAACACTACTTGTCTGAAATCAAATCTATCCCATTCCTTCCTGCAAACCTGCTTTGCTTCCAGTATTCATTGCCACAATCAAGGACACCACCATTCATGCAGTTATAAAAATGAGAAACTAAGGGCTATCCTTTATACCTCTTCTCCTCACTCCTCATACCTAAGCTATCAATAAGTTCTGTCTATTATATTCCTAAGTACCTATTGAATGCATCAATTTCCCTCCATCTCCACTGCTGGCACCCTAGTCCAAACTGCTTTCATCACTCGCCTAAATTACTACAATATCCTCCATAATGGTTTCCCCATAAACATTCTTGCCTCTCTCTAATCACTCTCCACACTGAATGATCTTTTAAGAATGAAGATCTGACTATGCTACCCCTCTGCTTAGAGCCTTGCAAAGCTTTCCACTGCTCTTTCCATAAAGATCCAACTTCTAATAAAGACTCTTGTGTGGCATCATTCCCCTGAGTATATGTGGGCCAGCCATACTGGCCTTCACTTACACCGTGACCATGCAAGGCTTCATAGCTAAGCCTCTCCCTGTGCTGTGTCCCCTGCCTGCAGTGTCTGTCCCCTCTTTACCTTGTTGACTCCCAACTCAAACAGCACCTGCTCAGGGAACTCCCCTGAATCCTCAGATCAGGCCAGATTCTCCTCTAAGCATCATGTATTTTTCCTCTAAAATATTTATTGCCTGTTATAATTATGCACTTAGGAGTGTAATGAATGTCCATTTCCCCTACTAAACTGGAAGCTCCATGAGAGTAGGGGCCAGGGCTGTTTTTCTCAGCATTGTTTACCCTGTGCCTTGCAATGAGCTTGCCTTGTAAGGAGTCTGGTATTTAGGATACGTTTAATGCATTCTTGATGATTGAATGAGAGAACCCAGAGGACAGACTTCAGTGGAATCCTGCAGGATTCTTTGCCCTGTTCAACATATTTATTAGTGATGTGAATAAAATCCTAAAGATACACTCATCAAAATTACAGGGGTTAAAAAAACCCAGAAAAATACAACAGACCCAGGATTCAAAAGGATGTTAAAAGAATAAAAAGTAGGCAAAGTAAAAGGCAAACTTTAGTCAAAATACATTTAAAGACATTCATTTAATTTTTTTAAAAAAGTTCCTGTAGAAAGACATTATAAGGGAGACTACTTGCTAACAATCCATTTGGAAGTAGCCAGGCAGGGGTGGGAAGAGGGAGTGCTTGGGTGAGTTAATAATGTGCGGGCAGTAGAATGTCTGACACTATTTTGGGCTGCATGTACTGAGAAGCTGGCTGTCCTGAAAGTGAGGGAGAATGTGGATGGTGTCCCTTGTGCCTAACAGAGTCACGGCTGACAAATAGTGTTAAATTAGAGGATGGGGAAAAGGAAACACGTACACAACACAGTAGAAAGAACACAGGCTATTTTGTCTGAAGAAGACAGAGGTAATAATTGCTTTTCTTCAGCCCTGTGGTATGATAGCCAATGTTTATCAAGGCCTTACTATAGTGTGTTCCAGGCATTATCTTGTTGAAGCCTAACACTATCTGTATAGTACAGGTATTATTATCTCCATTTTATGGATGAATAAAAGGGAGACACATGGTAAACACGCACAGCTCTAAGTGGTGAAGCTGGGATTTGAACTGGATTCTAGAGCCCATTTCTAGTGAGGCCTACTAGAGAGCCCATGGCTTGCTTAGGCAGACCCCTTATTAAGGCCACCCTCCAGACAAGGGACCAAATATTTGTGTGTGGCTCCAGATCCAGATACAAACTCCATGAATGAAAGAAGGAAGCAGATTTATGTACTATTTAAGGAACATTTTTCTACATGGGAACTTCACAAAATTCTTTCTCAAAGATAGTGAAAATTCTAAGTCAAGTGGACATGCTAAAACCGAAGCTCCATCACTACCTCTCAGAAATGTTGTGGAGAGTGTCCCTGTGTTGTGGAGGGAAGTTTGTTCTAGCTGACCATTAACTTTCCCTCCAACTCTCAGCTTTTAGTGTTGAACGAATTGGTGGTGGTGGGAACCAAACATGCCTAAACCTGGTGTGGCACAATGGGTTATTGTTCAGAAAATACTCACTCAACTTACGCTCCTTCTTGAGATAGAGTATAATTCCTTAGCCTCATTGACTTCAGGCTTGGCCGTGGGACTAGCTTTGGCCAATGAAATGTTAATGGATGTGGTTCATGTAGAGTCTTCAAATGTGCTTGCTCAATTTGGCTCGGCTCATGAGCCCCCGTGATCCACCATAAGGGGCTCCCTGTAGCCACTGCCTCTTCATCCTAGGACTCAGAACCAACAATGTGGAGCAGTCTTCAACCCAACGTGCAGCCTGAAGCCAAGCCTAGCTGGCCCAAGCTTAGATCAGCAGAGCCTGACTTGATCTCCGGACCTATGACTGTGAGAAGAAATGCTTCTTATTGTAAGCCACTGAACAGTGGGGTGGCTTATTATGCTGCAGTATTGTGACAAAAGCTGATTAACAAATGCCTGGTTCACCATAAACAGAGACACTTGCTATATATATTGTGGTATTGGCCCTTTTAAAAGTCATTATTCTCCCTGCTACCCCTCTGCCTTGGGATTCCACCTTATGTGAGTATGTGGGGGCAGAGGAAGGAGATGAGTGAGTGGCTGTTGGCTGATACACTGGCCCTCTTTACACTGCCTTGAACCTAAGGATCTTCAAGAAACTACTGGGTTTTGTTTGATATGTCTTTAAAACAATTTTCAGAAGGAGGCACTGTGCTATAGTCTCAAGGTTCTCACATATACTTGAGACTGTGCTATAGTCTCAAGATTCTCTTTGTGCAGGTTGTCTTATGTCATTCTTGTTCTGCCCCTACTTAGGTAATAATATTTGGGTAAGCCTATCAGAGTATGGAAAGAGCTTCTTTCTTTTAGGGCCTGCAGACCTTAGTGTCCCATATTTGAGTCCATGTTATATTGTTTGCCATGAGAAACTCTTTCACACAGTACCAGTACCACAGTACCAACATCAGCATTTTAACACAAATGCAAAATCCACCTCTGTCTTTGTTTGCCTTCTGTACAAGCAGAAACCAGCCTGAATTACCATAGTGGGCTTGTGAGAGCCAGAGCTGCGTATGAAGATAAGGAGGAAAGGAACTGAATCATGGGCTGGGTGGAAAGGCAGAAGCTAGGCACAAGACAGGAAGGATGAGCCAGGAGATTCCTGAAGGAAGTCACTGGTGCCTACTCTAAGTTATCTATGGCTTCTCCATGATTGGATGGGCCTTTCAGATACTTCTCCTTTAAAGCCTTAAATTCTGAAATTGTTCATGCTGGCTCTCTTTGGTATCCCTTTCATATCTGGGTTTCGTACTGTGTGTGTAAGGAGAAGAGGGAAGAAAGGAAGGTGTCAATGACTATACAAGAAATATCTCATTTACATTTGGAAAGAGGGAGCAAGTAGCAACTCTCAGGACTGCAGGAATCCAGGCTGACTTTAGGCCCTGCCTGTCCCTCTTTTTTCCAGAGGCCCAGAGTAGAGACTTTAACTGAAGAGACAAGAGTGCACTTACATGACTAAAGTAGGGTGTAAGTTATTGGGAAAGGAGGGAAGAAAGCAATCTATGTGCATATGGAAGAAAGGAATGCAAGATAAGAGGAGAAAAAACATGTGCTAGACACCATATGGTACCTTACTCAATTCTCACAGGAGTTCTTTACTAACCTGTCTAATATATAAATAAGAAAATTAAGGTAAAGAGAACTCCAGCAACTTGCTCGATATCTCATGGCTAGTTAATTGGAGGATTAGGAGAACACAGGTAGAACTAGGATTAGAATTCACATCTATTTCTAGAAAGTGGAAGAAAATATGAGTGCCATTCAGACCCAACCCTATAACCAGATGTTCAAATGTTAGGTGACCTGAGATGCCAAAAAATAATAATAATAATAATAATCAACTCCAGAATGGATCCCCCACTGACTTATTCTGATGCCTAAATTTCCAGTATTGTTATTTCCCTTTCATTGGGTTAGATCCATGTGTCTCAAACCAGGGCTTGCACAGCCCAGTAGGTACGTGGCAGTATGCCTGGGATACTACAGGAGAATCATGGTACGTTGTTTGAGAACAGTGGCTTCACTCCAAAATTTGAGAGAAGTTATATCAAAACAAATGCAAATGTTTTATAAGATGCAAATTGACCTAAGTTTAAAAGCTAAAATGCGAGAAATTTCAGATTTACCTTTCACTACAATCTCAGAACCCTAAGCATAGGAATTCTTTCTACTATAAGGGCCACTTTGCTAGAAAAATTTGAGAAGTGCTAGTTTCCAGCACCCTGTCCCCTGGAAGCCTCTGGGAAAATGAACACATGTTGACTATTAGTGGTGAGGGAACATTTACAATCACTGCAAAATGTGAGCTGTTGAGGATAGATAACCCCTTAGACATCACCCAGCACAGAGAAAATACTTGAAGTTATGAGACCCCAGAAGCAGAACTTTGAATTCTGGGTGTATACAAGTCATACTTGTTGAGCAACAGTGGGAAAGTGCTTCAGTGGGACATCAGAATATTGTATGTGTGGGGTAGGGTTACTAAAAGGCCATCTTTTTCTTCATTATCCATTTACTCACCCTGCAAACCTTCAAGAACTTTCTCATGCTCCCTTTTCAGAGAAAATGCTCAGAGATCTATGAAAAGGGTAGCAAACCACGTGAGACCTCATCTCCTCTCCAGTCACAGGTGACTTAACCATAGGTGGATACCACACTCAAGGCAGTGTGTTTGGAATGCATTTGTGTACATGAAAAACCCAGGCATTCTTTAATTTAGGAGTATGAAAGTTGGAGTTACAAACTAACGTTAGTCAGTGTCTGATGGACTTGTGAATGGTATAAAGCTGGAGATCATGGTGGCCACATGCATGCTAAAGCAGTGAAAGTCAGTAGTTTTTGAAAAGATAAAACCAGATGTGCAGAGAGAAGCAATCAGGAGAACGTGCAGTTCTGGGGAGATAAAAACATAACTTTAGTTTCTGAGTTCTGGCCCCTCATGAAGCCTGACTGTTTTGTGAACACTTCTGCACCTTTCCAATGAATTCCATTGGTTGCTTAAGCTGGATGGAGGAGTTTCATTCCTTCCCACTAAAGTTCTCTGACAAAGGTAGAGGGTGTTATCACAAAGAGGGTTAGAACATAAGAAAATGTGGCACATATACACCATGGAATACTATGCAGCCATAAAAAAGGATGAGTTCATGTCCTTTGCAAGAACATGGATGAAACTGGAAACCATCATTCTCAGCAAACTATTGCAAGGACAAAAAACCAAACACCGCATGTTCTCACTCATAGGTGGGAACTGAACAATAAGAACACATGGACACAGGAAGGGGAACATCACACTCCGGGGACTGTTGTGGGGTGGGGGGAGGGGGGAGGGATAACATTAGGAGATATACCTAATGCTAAATGATGAGTTAATGGGTGCAGCACACCAACATGGCACATGTATACATATGTAACAAACCTGCATATTGTGCACATGTACCCTAAAACTTAAAGTATAATAATAATAAAATAAAATAAAATAAAATAACAAAACAAACAAACAAAAAGAACATGATCAAAACCCAACTTTACCTGGGTGTAGCATAACCACAGAATTTATCATCCTAACGGGGACATTTGGGGCGCTGTTAATGATTACTCCAACACAACAGGAGAACAAGGATGTTTGGCCATCCTTCCCAAGTGGTAAAGAAGGGAAATCAGGTATTAATTGTTTGCATTTCCTAGATACTCTTGGCTGCTTACATCTATGCTATTTCATCAGACAGTCACCATAACCGTATCTAGCTTGTCCTCTCAGACCAGCAACTGAATTAGGGATGAATGAATTTACAGGCCACTCAGGAAACTGGTATAAGAGCCAGGATAGGAACCTAGGTCTATCTGACCACAGATTCTGTTCTCTTCTCACCAGGCTCTCTTCTTCCATAACAGTTTTGTCTAGGGCCAAGCTGAGATAAGGCTACAGTACCAGCATCAGCATTCTGGGGCTGTTTGAGAGCAAAGATCAGTGAGAAGAGAAACACATGCAATCACACTAATCTGTCAGAAAACCCACGCCCACCCTATTGATGCAAGGACAATGTCTAGCCTCGTTGCTGTTTGAAACGCCTTTCAGCTGAAGAAGCAAAATGAAAGGAAATTTCCACTAGCAAAGAAGGAAATTGAGGCAATTTTAAGACAATTTAGGAGAAGCCCCATTTTTTACCTGAGTTATTTGAGGAAACAAAAGATTAAGGGTCAGAATTTTTCAGATAATTGCTTGTTTTCCTAGTCTAGCAGGTTTAACACTCAGGCTTTCTTTTTGGAACCTGTATTGTCCTCACCATACAGTGAATACCCACCAACTTCTAGGTAAGACCTGTGTGGCAAAAGAAAGACATAGTGGGAGAGTAGAACCTGTTAGTCTCATTAAGACTCAGGTGAAAAAGTCTCTTCATTAACATTCTAATGAAACCCTGGGTTTCTTTCTGCTGAAATGCCAACTATAACAGGAAAATAATTAGTTCCGAGTTGTATATCCCTTTTCTTATCAGGCACTTCTAGCTCTGAGGACTAATCCAGTCCCAATCAAACAATTACTTGATGATTAGGGCTTCTGGGATTTGCTAACCATGGTGGGGAAGGTGCCAGGTTATTTGTGAGTCAGAAAAAGGGGTAATTACTGCCAACTGCACCCACCTGTTTATCCTTGGTAAGGGGTAGTCTGCCAGGATAGTAATTACATCTTAATTCCAGGCGACAAGACCCAGATAGGCAGTGAGCTCTCCATTCACAATGACCTAGCTTGAAGAAGGCTCCAGCACCTGAGAGGGAGGGCTTTTTATGCCATTAAAGGGTCCCAGCTGTTTTCCCTACCACTACTTTCAGAACCACTGATGATTCTGCCTTTGCATGGTTTGCTTGAAGTATGGGTTTCCAATAAAATCCCTGACTTTGTGAGAAGGTGAAAGGGTGATGGAAGAATTTTGAAGGAAGTTGTAGTATGGGACAGGGAGCACAATTTGGGTTGAGGACCTATTATAACCACTTGGCACTGTGCAGTCTGAGGCCCAAGGTCTGACCTCATAAAGTGTGATCACCTGTGGCTGAGGCCATGTAAAAGGCATGCTGGCCTTGCACTGGTTATCTGGAAGCCAGAAAAATATGTTTGACACAAGGCAACTTATCAAACCTTATAAAATGGAAATGTGAATTTTTATACATTGATGATAATAGAGAAAAAAACTTTTTGAAGAAAATAAGGAAATTGGAGCATGATTGTTTTTTGAAGAACTTTATAATAGTGTAAACCATATTTACACTATTTAGTGTAGTACTCTTCGTATGGTACCACATCTACCCACTATTTTCCTGACATTTTTCATGCTCACAGAATTGCATCATAGCAGTTAGGGAACCTCATGATTTCTCTTTTGAAATCCTTGAGAATTATTTAAATGCTTATGTGATTTTTCTTTGCCTTTCCCGACACAACTCTGAATCCAGAGAAACAATTTTAACAAAATTACCTGAATGCATAACCCCAATATATGTATGCACACAAACTTTTAGTGGTCTGCACTTAGAATACTTTTTATCTACAGAGGAATAGATAAAAATGCCTTTTGGTGCTAAATAATCAGACAGTGTCATTCATTCTAAATGAAAAAACAATCAAGTTGAGAAGAGAGTGGCATAAAACAGCAGCTGAACAGAGAAGTTAATGAATGTGAAGCCAGAAAACCAGAAAAAGAATTCCATCATCTGATATGTGATTATTTCTTATTACTATCTTAACAAACAAATTTTTTTGAGACTCTGTCGCCCAGGCTGGAGTGCAGTGGCGCAATCTCAGCTCACTGCAACCTCTGCTTCCTGGGTTCAAGTGATTTTTGTGCCTCAGCCTCCAGAGTAGCTGGGATTACAGGTGGCGCCACGACACCTGGCTAATTCTTTCTGTATTTTTAGTAGAGACTGGGTTTTGCCATGTTGGCCAGGCTGGTCTCGAACTCCTGACCTCAAGTGATTTGCCCACCTCAGCCTCCAAAAGTGCTGGGATTACAGGCGTGAGCCACCACGCCCGAACCTTATCAATATTTTTACCTTTCTCTTTGGTAAAATCCTTTTTTTTTTTTAGTTTTTTATAATGACCTTCAAATAAAAATATCATTTTATTTAAAGATTTAATAATGGCTTTCTCACAGAACAACTATTAAATAGTTTTTCCTGAGAACTTTCAATTAATTTCATTTCCCTGGAAATCATTGTTTTGAATCTAGTTTTCTTCCAGGTGGTCAGAATGCAAACATTACAGAAATGTTTTTCTTTTGTTCCAATTTTCTACCCTAATATCAACTTGAGCCTTTATAATTGGGAAAATTATATCAACACAGATGAATTTTCTTTAACAAGATAGCATTTTATTTACTTGTTACAACGATATCGTTTAATGATGGTGTCAGTTGCCCTGAAGAACCTGCATTTTGTTTCAAAATCATATGCAGTGATTTCTTTAAAGGGTAGGTCACTGCATTGTCTGGATTTTATGGGTAACTTTTAATTCATTATTTACAAACAATACTTCAAAATATAAATTTTGGTCAAACAATCGAACTGATTACTTCATTGGGAGAAGAGGAAGAAAGGGAAAGAAGGAATAATTAGAGCAAAAATGTAAGCATTTCATAAAGTTATGTCAAGAATTAAAGACAAGTTCAAGTTGAAGTTGAGTAGCTTTAATAGCAGTCCTTTAAGTTTTATTACATCACCTGGGCTGTTAATTTGCTACACCTACTTATACTCTGGTCTTTCTTCAACCACTACCAGCTGGCCAGCAATGCACTTTTGCCCTGGGATTTTTAGCTAAGCAGGTCTTGTTACCTTCAAAACCTTTTTAAAAGTTATGACTAAAAAATATACTTTGTAAATCTTTCAAAAAACAAGGTTTGTAAACACATTGGGTGATATTCCTGTCTTATTTAATGCTTGGTATTAGATATAGGCATCTATTACAATTTTTTAAAATGCTGTCAACTCTCCAAGCACTGCCCTTTCTGCAGCTGTGATTGGCAAAGCCCTGGAGGTTCTGTCACCCAGGAGGCAGGTAGGTACTCCTTAGTAGCGGCTGAATAACACCACATTGAGCGTCACACAGAGGCCTGGATCCAGCCTTCCTTCTTCCACTCAGACACACTGTCTTGTGTGGTAACTGCACCCCATGGAGCCAGATATCCAGGCTTCAGTCATTCATTGAAATACTATCCCATAAAACACCCCCTCTATCTTGCTGGGCTAGGCCCCTGGCTTTGTGCTGTCATGCACACGCTTAACTTCTCTGAGCTTAGGAATTTGCTAAGAAAATCATAGTCCCAGCTAGGTTTCTAAGAAAAATGGTTAGATAGGACAAACACATTTTTTGTTCCATTGGCTTCCATTATTATTATGTTTTAATGCACACATTATTTTAAATCAAATCAGGGATTTTTCAGCCAGAAGAGGATGAAGTTGTTTCTGAGAATGCAGATAAAACCAAACATTAAACTTCAATAAGAAAAACATGCAACTTGAGTTCCAAGTAAAAAAAACAAAACAAAACAAAACTCTAGATGTCTTCAAATAATCTTGGCCAAGATCCTGGGTGTGGGAAGCCAGAGTGTGGTTCAAACTCAGGGATGGATTGAAAGCCTTCCTCTGCAGATTGGACTGACAAGGCTTGTCTATCAAAGAACAGATGCCCAGGGTGGCTCTGGGAGAGCACTGCCCAAGTTCTGGACTTTTCAAGGTCAACTCAGAATCTCAAAGAAGAAATAATATGAATGTCAAGGTTGGTTTCCTAGACCCAGGAGGTGGAGGGTCATGTACACAGATTCACAGGCTGTTGAGATCTGGAAGGTGCTGCCCAATGTTATAGAGTAAGAATCAATCAGGATCAGGATCAATCATATGTTGGGGGATGGGAGAAAACAAATAGTCTGGAGTGTTTTACATTGATTTTTCTTTCTATTTCACAAGTTGGATGGTATCTGCCAAGTTCTTTGGCTGTTTTGTGCCCCACATATGATGAATTCCGGTGTGCAAATATTATTGTGCACTGTGAGAACCAGGAATTGTAATCCAGGCCTTCACAGTGCACAATAGCATACCACATGCAGGGAGTAAAATACACTGCTTCCCTAAAGATGTTAGAAAAAGCACATTAGTTCTGAAGCTATTCAAATAGCTATTCAGAATAGCTGGTTCAAATAGCTATTCTATCCTGACCTCTATGGCTCAGCAGAGAAAGATTCATTTAAAAAGCAAAACAAAATGATCTAAAGCCTGATATTTGAAACTAGGCTATTTTGGGGCAGTATTTACCTGGTTCAAAAGACAATCCACAGTATAATCATTCACTCATAAGGAAGGCTCAAAACAATTAAAACAAATCAGTACTTTTGTATTAAGAATATCTAAAACAGCAGATTTAAAAGTCATGGAACAATTGGAAAAGCTTTGCCATTTGTTTTGCCTACTTCCCTGGTGCTGGTAATTGTGACCGAGGCAGAGAACTCTGGGCAGACAGGGCAGGTCCCTGGCAAACCTCCACCTTCAAGTTGAAAAGCTGAAGCCACCATGGCCCAAAGGAAGAATTTCCATCCCTGTGTGTGCCTGCTCTCTCCTGATTGTTTCTTCCTGAATAATGTCTTTTTATCAATCAAATGTTGCCTTTTCCAAAACTACCTATGGCCTGCCCTGCCTCCCATCCTGTGCCTATAAATATCCCAGACTCAGCCAGCAGAGGGAAGAAGTGGCTGGACATCCAGGTAGGGCGACTTAACTTCAGAGACAGTGGCGGGTTGAGGCAACTTGACTTTGGAAGAGAGAGGCAGAGAGGAAGCTTGGCTTCAGGGGAGAGGGACCTGCCCTTCCCATCCCCTTCCCAGCTTCCCTCTCTGCTGAGAGCCACTTTCATCACTCAATAAAATTCTCCACATTCACCGTTCTTCAGTTTGTCCACGTGACCTCATTCCTCTTGGGCACTGGACAAGAATTTGGGATGCACCACATGAGTACCCAAAAAGGCTGTCACACTGGCCCTTTGCCCTTGCTGGCAGAGGGCAGCCACCGCATGTGACAAAGCAAAAGGCCCACTGAGCTGATAACACACTGCTGTCTGCAGGTGGCGGAGCTAAGAAAGCACTGTGACACACCCTCTGGGGCCTTGGGGTCACAAGGGCCTGCACGGAGTTTGCTCCTGCCAGTGGAGTTTGCTCCTGCTAGCACTGAAGCAGCCAGCTGGTTCCTGCACTTGTTTGCTCGCACGCTCCCTCTCGCAACAGGTGGAGCCTGGTGAACCCAAGTGAATGGAGTTTGCTCCCGCTGGGCCGCTGACCAGCTCTTGCACTTGCTAACTCTGATTCCACACTCGCTTGCTTGCACACTCCCTCCCGAGAGGGGTTGAGCAGAGCAGGCTGAGTAAATGAGGCACCCTTGCCACAAGTCCTATGAAGGGGTTGAGAAAATACCCTGCATCACTGGCAGGCACAGCCAAGGACATGCCTATGCTCAGGTAAGGATTATTTCCAAATACAGTTTGGGTTCAACTGTTTTTCAGACCAAACAGGTTTGGGGAACCCTTTCTTCAATAAGTTTCTGCAGGAGTAAGCAGAGTGATAGGAGAAGGCCTGTGTTGGTTATAACCTACACACTGCACTTTGTTTCTAGGGTGAAGTGTGCCTCTATAGGAGCCAAAAGAAAGAGGAATTTAACCTGCTTCTCAACAATAAAAACGAAGAACTATGAAATATTATAAAAGCTAAGAGATTTTTTCTATAAATCATCAAGCTGTATGTCTCTTGGCATTTACAGACTAACAATTCTTTTATCTGCTATGCATTCTAGATATACGAAACTCAACTTCTGGCAAAGGAGGGGGAGGGAGAAGTTCAAGTCACCCTGCCCTACTCTTCCCTGAGCATTGAAGGTTAACTCTGCCTTGACCTCTATAATTCCATGTTTTGTCCCATGATGCCTGTGTTCACATCCTAATCCCTAGAGCTTGTAAATGTGTTACCCTATGTGGCAAAAGGGACTTTGCAGATATGATTTAGAATTTGTAATGGGGAGATTATTCTGGATTACTCAGGTGGTCCCAATGCAATTACAGGAGCTCTTATAAGGGATAGAGGGAGGCAGGAGAGTCATCAAAAGATACATCACCACGGAAGCATGGGTTACGATGTGATTGCTTCTTGGAAGATGTAAAGGAGCCACAAGCCAAGGAATGTGGGCAGCCTGTAAAGCTATAAAAGGCAAAGAAGTGGGTTTTCCCCTAGAGCTTCTGAAAGGAATGTGGCCATGTCAATACTTTGATTTTAGCCCCATAAGACCCATTTTCTAAATTCTGACTTCTAGAAGTATAAAATAATAGATTTGTTTTGTTTTAAGCCACTAGATTTGTGGTAATTTGTTTCAGCAACCATAGGAAACAAATTCAATGCCTCATCATACATCCATGAGCAGAGGAAGACATTCACAGAATTCTCAGCAACTCTGGTCATTTCGGGCCTGGTCATTCCAGATTTAAGGGTGTTAGGGAATCAGTTACTCACCACTGAGGCCTCATTCAGAGCTCAGGATGGAGCCATTTTCTCCCCCAGCTGCAATGAGCTTGGCTTAGACTTCATGGGATGCTTTTGCTTCTGAATCTGTGAATCAAGGGGGTTGCACAGGTGAGTTTGCATACCTAATTGCCTCACACTCTACTTCTATCCTTCAGACATCAGTACCATTGTCCAGAGAACCTGACATGTTGTATGCAATTTCTGTGTCAGAGTGGACCTGAGAAAGTTCCTGGTGCCTAAATATGGGTTTTGAATCGGCATTGGTGATATCTGCCATGGTGGCATTCTGAATTTGATGACATAAATTGTCCACACGAATTGTCACTGAATCCTTGGTAAGTTTCTCCTCTGGTGGAATATCTAATGAAATAGTTCTCACGTCTACTTGGATCAAGCTATCGTTCATGGCAGGATAACAAACAAACCAGGTTCTTTGGCTCCTCATTATATGATGTGGCCTGATCTAAAGATTACAGCCCTTTCATATTCTTTTAGGATAATATGGAGAAAGTTATGATTGGTCAAAACTCCACCTGCAAGCCTATAGTGGGCTCCTCTTGAGGGAGTCAGGAAAAACCATAACTAGGTGTCCTCAAGGTGACACTATCGGTTGGCTGTCAGAGTCCAAGTCTCTGTTATCACTTCACCAGAACTGTAGTGGCTGAGGAATATATTGGTATTTTTAAAAAGCTCTCTGGGTAATTCTAACACACGGCCAAGGTAGGTTATAAACCACCATTCCAGGACATCTCTATGAGTTAAATGTCATTAATATCTTCATTTAACTGAAGGCAAAATCAAGGCATGGAAAGGTCACTTAATTTGCCCAAAGTCACACAATAAGTAAGGGACAAAGCTAGGATTCAAATGCAGGCTCCAGAGCCTAAAATGCATGGCTTCTCTATTACCTTGTGTAGAACTGAATCCTAAGCACACAGCAGAATTCCTATTATTCAACAAATGCTTGTTGAATGGATAAATGAAGGAATAAATGAATGTCAACACCTATTTGTGATATAGGCTTTCATTAAAATATTGATGGGTATGGGCTTAATATTACCTTTTAATTTACAAAGTACTTTCATACACTGTTTTGCTTCTTGTTCATTCGTGAAACATTTTTTCTAGAACTTAACTTTTAATTCTGAAACAAAAGTCTTGAAGTAAAGAAAAAAATACTAAATGAACAAATAGTAGCATTTTTATCCCCAAGCCAATGAAAAATAATCTTTTTTGAGCGCCACTATATTCTAGGATTTGTAGTATGTAATTTTCAATGTCATAATTTTATTTTAAACAGCTGACTATTTCTCATATTGAGAAATTCATTTTTGGATAGCCCAGAGCTAAATCAACTCAGAGATTAAAATAAATAAATTTTATTTGACTCCACTTTTAAAATACTGATTCAAGAAATGCTTCACTTCCCTAATGTAGCATAAATATATGTTTCATCCTCAGAATCTTCAGGATCTCAACAATGTTATCTTCCTAATCATTTAATGACAAAAAGGAAGTAAACAGACCAGAAAGCAGATTTTTTTTAAAGTTTAGAGCAATTTGTTACATGGTAGCATTAAAATGAAAACTAAAGTAAATCTTTTTCTGTAAAATATAAGTCCAAGAGATGCAAAAGCTGATTTTACCACAAACTGCTTGTGTACTAAAATAAAATGGAAAGTCGAGGAAAAGTAGAACAGTAATTGCAAATTGCCTTTTATATTGTGGTTGAAGGCACTTTCCTGTTCAATAATTTTAATAAAGAAATCCCCCTGGCCATCCCCCTGATCAGTTTGAACATAATTCCAGCATTATACACATTGTTCCCTTGGGCTTATACCTTCATGGTTTCAAATTATGTCTCGTATCCTGCCAAGACTTAGATCAGTCTACCGTAGTCAAATATTAGACTCCAAAGCAACTAGAAATTCATGTTTTCCTGTTTCAAAAACAAAAATCTATTTACAGTCAGCCTATCATTATTTTAATTTTTAAACTCAGCAGTCATTAGTAGAATTATAGACCATTCAGAAAGATAATGTTCAACTTAACTTTGTGGTACTTTCTTCTCCAAACTCTCAGTTAAATACCTTTAGACATTGGTTCCCAGCCTGCAGGATGTAGGTCTCTGTGGCGCCAGGATGTTAATGCAAGGGATTCTTTGCTTCCTGGATGGCTGTTTACTGGATAGCTAAAATGTTACACGCAGAAATGCACTACCATTTTCCAAATATACATAGATGTTAATGTGATTCATAAAATTTCCATTCTTAGTTAATTCACTGTAGCAGTTTTTCATAATGTATTTCCTCCGTCAAGTGACCACTGCTTTTGGGGAGGGATTGTAGTATGCAATATTTCTTGACATCAAGAAGAGGTCCTCATGATTGAAAATTAGAGAAGATACATAGCAAGGGAAATAGACACGTGAATGGTGACCTCTTCTGTTATACAGTATGTAAGAACAGCAGTAAACGCCTCCTCAACTAATTGTCAGAAGACTGTGTACTTCTCCTGGCTCCTTGTGATAGCCCTGAGTAAATAACTCCAAATAGTTCAAGCCCCAGATGTTTTCCATAGACACTTGAAAGTACATATTAAAACTTTTCTCGGTTTGCAGAGCAGAGGGCTGGCACGCCTTCATAGAAGGAATAGTTCTTCCACTGGGCAGTTGTGACAGAATTATATTCATTGCAAGCAAGGCCCTTTCAAGTATTCACATTTGGGATCTTATTGCATATCTAGGGGCATCGTCAGGAAACAGGAAGAATTTTTAAAAAGGATCTAATATAAGTGGATGGTGTAGCTGATCAGTTAGCAAATGACCGTCAACAGTACTGGCTGGAACCCAGCGAAGTGCAGGCTGGAGGCAGAAGAGAGCTGGGCCATTTCCTTGTGTGACAACCAATCTCTGTCCTTGGGATCACTGCTACTATTTATTTGGAATTTATTGAGTCAGCAACTGTTCTAAATTCATTGCCATCATTATTATGTTTAAATCTTGTTACAACCCTTAGGAGATAGCAGATGAAGAAAGAGATTCTGAGACGTTAGGTGGTCTTAAGTTCCCCTAGGTAGGGAGACTCGGGCCTGGAACTCGGATTTTTTTTTCTTTTGAGATGGAGTTTCGCTCTGTTGCCCAGGCTGGAGTGCAGTGGCACGATCTCGGTGCACTGCAAGCTCCGCCTCCCGGGTTCATACCATTCTCCTGCCTTGGCCTCCCGAGTAGCTGGGACTACAGGCGCCCGCCACCACCATGCCCGGCTAATTTTTGGTATTTTTAGTAGAGACAGGGTTACACCGTGTTAGCCAGGATGCTCTCCATCTCCTGACCTTGTGATCCGCCTGCCTCGGCCTCCTGGAACTCGGGTTTAACCTTTAAGCCTATGCTTTAGTAAATATTGGTGGCAAGACCAGTCTCTCAGCAGAGGTGTGAAGTAGGTGAAGGAAACCAGAATATATCACCCCCAAATATGCCTCATGGATATAAAAATTATTTTTGAACTAAAGGTAACTATGAAGCAGCAAATGAAGAGCTCTCTCTATCTTCCCCTTTTCTGCCTAAAAACAGTATAGATATTCTCCCTTATAGGAGACAACTCTTAGCCTAGATACAGTGCCAGGGGAATCTGAAATCAAATGTTACTTCATTAGTTTCTTCTCATGTATTTATCTTCCACATTGTCTGGCCTTCGGAAGCCCCAAACTGCTTTCCTTCATTCTGGCATTTCTCTCTAATTTTATCATTCTTTGTTGAAGATGCTATACAAGCCAGAGTTCCAAGCCACTGCTTTGAGTTACTATTCACTGGGATTTCTCTCATGTGATGTGCACTTCATGAATTATTAAGTTTGCTTATTTTTCTCTTGTTAATCTGTCTTTTGTTACAGGGGTCTGTACCAAGTACAAATTTATGAGACATGAGGAGAATATATATTATCTCCCCAACATGAGCAAAGTTAATCTTCTTCTCTCATTGTTTCCTTCCATTACTTACTAAATGCTCTGGGTACCCCAGCCACCACTTCTATATATTGGGAGCCAGAATAACTTGGTGGCTCAAAGCAAAGGCTTTGGAGTCATACACACTTGAATTCGAGTCTGGATTCTGTAACTTGCCAGCAATGTTATCTTGTACAATTTACTTAACCCATCAAAAACTTGTCCCATAAGGTTTTTATAATAAAATCACATAATACCATCATTCATTCAATAAATTTTGATTGAAAATCCACTGTTTGACAGCAACCTGCCTATGAGGGTTAACAACACAGAGTTCTTTCTTCATAGAGCTCACATTTTAGTTTGAGTCAGGTAACAAAAAATAAAACAAATAAATATATAATTTTAGCAAGAGTACATGCTATGAAAAACATGCAGCACAGTTAAGGGAGTGAGAATGATGGGGGTGAAAGGGATAATACCATAGATATGGTTGTAGTGAACATTAATGTTAAGCTCTTATCATTGGGCCTGACACATGGAAGGACTCACTAACTGTTGTCTATTGTTGTCATTAGGTTCCGTATACTGACCCGGGGGTTTGGGCAGCCCCCTAAACATGGAAGATCCCAGGAAAAATGATTTCAGTGGGTGGCATTTAAGATCCTAAGGGAGGCTGGCATGTCAGTCAATTCAAATGACCCTCCCCTTAGGTGGTGATCTGCACTGCTTAGAGCTGGTCCTGAGTTGTCCCCTCATCTCAGTGAAAAACTGCTGAGTGAATACATCTAATTAGTCACATCTGGAAGAGCTGAAATTGCTTGTTGTTCAGCAACATAAAGGCCCTGTTGTTCTTTCCTGACTAGGATTTTGGTCAGGGTCATTCCAATCTACCCCAACAAGTTTTCCTAAATTTGAATCTCTGGGAGCAAGTGTTGGGTCTCGATTTTTTTCTTTTCAGAAAGCATTAGGCTTTTGTAAATGGGTTCACAAGAGTCTACAAAATCAAGCCTCATGGAGTCCCAAAGTTTCTGTCTTATGTTCCCCCAGAAATAGTGTTTATTGTTGTCATTTACATAACAGAAGGGGCCTCACTTTACTGACTTTTCCCAGAAAAAAGATCTCCTCTAAGATGACTTTCTGCCAGTGCCTAAATGGAAAAGGAGTTTCTCTCCCTTAAAATAAATAAATAAAATATGTCCCAATCTACAAAACCACTAATAACCAGGGAATCTCAGCCTTGTAAACTTTGATGTTGTGCCTCACATGGGTTTCGTTCTAGTAGGTGACTGGTTCTGTCATTTACTAGCTTTGGGAATGGAGCAAGTTATATTACCTGTGGACTAAGCTCTTCTCTCCAGTGAAGCACAGGCAATACTGAATCATCCATGGAGGAAACTAGCTTAAGGCCAAAGGGGCAATAATTAGGATTCTGAAATAAAGAATGAAAAACAAAACAAGATAAGCCTTGGGCAGGAGCAGAGCAGGATCTGGCCTCTAGGCTGACTGCACACAGGATGCTGACAGGACCCTCTCACATCTCTGTTCCTCTCTGAGTGTTGTTTTTATGTATGCAGATATCTTTATCAGGTGGGGACATGGCATGCGGACGCTTGAAGATAACATATTCACAGAACCTCATCAGAGATGTAAGAAAAACTCTTTCCTGTCGATTCAATCAGAAAATCTCTAGGAGAGGACACTGAGGGACCTAGTCGCACATGTGTTTCCCTGGACCAGTCACAGGGACCAGGTTAAAAGGTCAGTCTCACTGGGTCATCTGGAGTCACACGACCTTCCTTATGGCCAGAGAGCAGGAACCCATAGTGACCGGTCCTTACCTTAACCAGGAGGCTGGAATCCAGATGATGCCGTTCCCTGAAGAAAGGGGAAGGCTACTGCCACAGATGGAGTGACATGGTTATTAGCTGTTAACAGACCTCTTAATCCTCACGAGGTTTTTGTGAGAATTCAACTAACAGATATTCAGTGAAGAAATATTTTTTTTAATCAGAATTAGGCTCTAATCTCAAAACGTTAGGCAAAAAAACCCTCTTACTTAGAGGCCAGGCTACAGAACACAACAAGTTTTAATTCCAGCATTATAATAAGTTACCAATTCTGCAGTAGAGAATATGAGGGAAATTTGGCTGATGTTTAAGGGTCATGTTATATGAAAAAATACTTCTCTTTAAACACCCACGTCACTGTGTACACAGAGAGATGCTCACAATATGAGAAGTAATTAGGAACTGAGATTAGCCAAGGGAGAGTGGACTCCTCCACATTTTACTAAACCTATTCCAGGTATAAACTCCACAGTAGTGTTTACTCATTATTAAAACAATAGGTGAATTATTGGAATTGTTAAATGAATATATACGTACATATATACATGTCTGTATATATATACATATGAAATGGGAGAGTTCCCTGACCTCCTTCACGGGACGTGCAACAGGGATGTGGCTTTTCTGTTCGGCCACCACCGTGCATGCTCAAACCCCTTACAGGAGGGGGAGCACTCAGATGGGCAGGTGCAGGAGCCGGGGCAAGTGCTTTTTGGCTCCGGTTCCACGGTAGCATCTAGGGATGGGTGCCTGCAACTCCCGAAGCCCCAGTGGGCATGTTACAGTGCTCCTTTAGCTCTGCCATCCACAGAGGACTTAAGTGATAACCAGTTCAGTACCCACTTGGTATCCGGGTTCTTGTCCAGTGTCCAGGAAGAACAAGGTCCCACATGGACTTGAAGGATGGTGAATGTGGGGGTTTTATTGAGTGATGGAGGCGGCTCAATGGGATGGATGGGATGCTAAATAGGGGATGGGGTGGGAAGATGATTTTCCCCAGAAATTTGGCTGTCCTGTGGCTGATCTGCCCTCCAACCATCCCCAGCTGAACTCTTCTAGACGTTCAGATGCTCCTTCTCTTCTCTCCTTCTCCCTACTCTTTTGTTCTGTTTGTCCTCTCATGGAGCCTGCAGTTTGGAGTTTATATGGGTATAGAATAGAGGTGTGTGGTGGGAAAAAAGGCAAAATTTGGGCAAGGAAACAGGAATACCTGTTCTTATTCAGGGCTGCGGGTTTCCAGACTCGAGAATGGGGCCTTTGCCGGGAAACTACCCACCTCTACTCAGCACTTCTCTGCCTCCTGCCCATATCATATATACACATAATCTAAAAGAAAAAGATAAATATATATGCACTTATACACTTTCTCTTTATTCCCTCCCTGAGCTGGGATATTTGAATACAAGTACACAATAGTACACAATAATACACAATAACATATTACTATTTGAGAAATCACCAAACATGGTGTCTGAAACTTATCAGGAACACCCTAAATGTTAGTTGAATCAGAACCTGAATCTCTCTCCCTCCTAAAGGATGACTTTCACTCACACAGCTATCCTTTCTGCTCCTTGCAGTTTTTTCTGGGAACGGTGGGGCTGCTTCAAAGATTATCAAAGGAGATTTCGAAATTCTGAGTGTCAGAAAAAATAGGAGAAGGATTTTTTAACATGTTTCTACTCATGATTTGGCAGCTTCCCAAAACCACTCTGAATCTGTTCTTATTTCCTTGCAACTGAAGCTTTTCTCAAGTTAAATTTTCAGTTATTACTAGTGGCATTTCCCACATCTCATGCACATATATATTACCCATTTGAATGAAAATAAAGGCACTCCCAACATTCCATTCTATGGGAGGGAAAGCACTCAAATGTGTTGAGTGGAAAAACATGCATTTCCTGTTTGTATTCAGTTAAAACTCAAACAACTTCAGAACAGTATGTATTATAACATAATCATTGCCTGCCTAGAAATGCCTCTATGAACATATCACCTACTTCTAATTCTTTTATTCGGTCTAGAGTATTTGAAGAGAAGTTAAAACTGATATGTACAGGAAAATATTATACATTTAATACAGGAAAGAATCTTGTTGTTAACAATTAGTAGACTCTGTTCTACAAATTTTGCTAGAAAAATGTGGACCCTAACTTGCCCATAAAAGAATCTTTACTAGCTATGATTTTCCAGAGGCATTTATTAATCATTATCTTCATGTGCTTTTATATGTTTGGGTTGTCAGTCTCAGCACTTTCAGAAGAGCTTGGGGATTTAATGAAATAAATGGATTTTTTTGGTCATTTCATGGGGGTTGAAATTCAATTGCCGTATAATGAGCATGGTGTATTCCACTTAATTACTTTTCCAGACTCTTCTGTCTTATACCTGAATCAAGGTTTTTCAAAATTATAATTAAAACATTGAGCGTACGTGACAAGGGAAAAATAGTATTGAGACATGTTTGACTTTGCCTAAAATTACAGAAAAGAACATTAATACTTTAAAAGTATATCTCAGGAACTGTGCTGGGACCTTGACACTGGATTTAGCATCTAAGTTATAAAGGGCCTTGTCAGGAGCCTTCAAGGTGATAGTTGGGATGGGAGCTGGAAAGCTGTGGGTTAAGAATGAATAGGAAATGAGCAAGAGAACATCCTAAATGTAATCCTGTTTCACAAAGCTTGACTTTTTAAAGGGAATGTGCTATGTGGTCTGTAATTTACTTTAAAACACTTCAACAAACAATTTATGTGTAAATACTTATTCTATTTCATTTTAATCCAGACCCTAGGGCAGGTAGTTATTCGAATTGAAAATATATACTCCAGCAATGGTTTTTGGTAGCATTTCATCAAAACGCTAAATTTCAGAGGCAGCTATAGTTGCCTTGGTTTTTATCTCGAACACAAGAGGTTTTGATAATTAGTGAAAAGAATGTGAGAAGTAGGTTTTCATTTGTGAAATTCCAGGTATTGAAGTTATGTGGATGGGTTAGAAATGCTTTAGAGGTGTTCTCACTGTTTCATGAACAAGGTAAAAGAATATGGTGATGCTCCCTAGGCTTGATTTCTGTGCAGCCATGTGTCCAGGATATTGAAAGGAATAAGGTTCCAGAGGAGGAAGGAGGCTGGAAGAGATGGGATACTTCATGGAGGTGGTAGAACAGGTCCTGGACAACAGGAGGGTGCCTTGGGACTGGACATAAACTCTATCATTTGCCTGAAGCCTTTTAGGTCATAACATTGTTGACATTGGAGCCAAGTTTTACTAATTAATAGCTCCAGGCATGTGTGGTTTACTCCACCATGGTCTTCTCATCCTCTCTCCCCATCCTAGGGAAAAGCTTTTCTTTCTTCCAGGTGTTACAACCTTTTCTCTGAAGCAGACCAAGAGAGACTCTTTTTTTTTTTAGACAGAGTTTCACTCTTGTCGCCCACGCTAGAGTGCAATGGCACAATCTCGGCTCGCTGCAACCTCCGCCTCCCAGGCTCGAGTGATTCTCCTGCCTCAGCCTCCCGAGTAGCTGGGATTACAGGCATGCGCCACTGCACCTGGCTATTCTTGAACTTTTAGTAGAGACACGGTTTCACCATGTTGGCCAGGCTGGTCTCGAACTCCTGACCTCATGTGATCCACCTGCCTAGGCCACCCAAAGTGATGGGATTACAGGGGTGAGCCACCGCGCCCGGTCAGAGAAACTCTTAAGACTATTAATGGAATTTATCCTTCTGGTGAGTAATTAAAACTTATCTAGGGTAGGGCTTAGAAAATATCTGTTTATAGTTGTTGTTAATTAATATGTATAACCATGCATAGCATATATTTTGATTAGCATATAAATGCTTTCAGAGTGGTATCTATTGGGTAAATGTGAACCTTTACATTAGCAGACTTTTTCTTTTTTAAAATAACAATATAACAAATTTAAGGAGTGAAAGAGGATGGCAATTAACAAAAAACCAAGATCAGCTACAAGGTTAATGCTAAGATAGACCTGTCAGTAAGGTCAATGAGCTAAGATAGATTGTGATAAAATCAACAGTGTGCAATGACATTTTACTGAACACTTAACACTAAAATTTTGCTTAATTCTTTTACCTACTATATTAACCATAAACTGACTTTTTCTAAACATGCTTTAATCAAAGGTGGTTGAAAGAACTATAACCTAAGGTGAATAAATGGTTTAATTTTTTTCCATCTCTACAAATGTTTGAAGATATTCTAAAGGCCAATATTTTGTTACATTAAGCAATACTGCTGAAGAAAATTTCTATTTGAAGTCTAAACAGTAAAATGCCATTGTCATAGCATAAAATAAACTACATAACAATGGATGCTTCTTTACTCAGGAAGATTAAGTCCATATTTTTCAAGGAAAGTCAAGAAATGTAGTTCCCTACAGTTTGATAACATAACTGGTTATTAGTATCCTCCCCAGTCTAATCATACTGAACGGTATATATCAGAAGCAAAACAAAAGATGCTGAAAGCTTAAGGGCAGGAGTAAGGGTAGAGGAAAGGAAGTCAGTAAAATGATCTCCATGAATGCTCTTATTTCGGTCCAAGGAGTCTTTTCAGTGTTTAAGAGAAAGGCTGAGCCAGTGCCTAAGAGGCCAAGAGCTCCTCATTTAGGAAACTATAGAACAAAGGGAATCTGGAAAATTCTTACCTGGAGTAAAACCAGAATGTAAAGTTTCCTTTTATGTACCATTCCACATGGCACTAAATTCATGGGCATTGAATATTTTTTTAAAAAGTTATTAGGCATAGAAAACAAATATTGAATAAATTACAGTTGGAAAAGGGAATATGCTATACAAGCAGCATTTTAGGATTTAGACATTACGTACAGAGTGAGGGATTCTAAGTGTATCATAATTTTATCAATTCAGAACCAAATATCAGGTCAAAAGACATGTTTTGGAAACTCTATAACCAGATCACAGGAATAAGGAAGTTGTAACATTTGTTCTAGTTACATATACAACAGTTAAATTCGTTCTCTCTTCACCATTCTCTAATGTCATAGGAGCTTTTAGCTTTGAAAAATGCATTGGCTTGGGGCCAGAAATGGCATGGAACGGTGCTGCTCAAAGTGTGACACATGGATCCATATCAGCCTGCTAACTGTTACTAGGTTGTCAATGAAATAAAAGCAGAAATTAAAAGTTAGATTTACAAACTGTTACAGCAATTTGACATAGTAATTTTATACTGGCTAAATCTAATAATAAATAAATGGGCTTCTATTTATATTTGTTTATATTTTCATTTCACCTTTCTAGCAATTTATATTATATTTCACAGAACTATTCTCTTTCGGATGGGAAAAAACCCTGGTTCTTCACCTTAGATAGTTTGAGAAGCATTGATGTAGACCATAACTGAGTGATAATTATTTTAAGACCAGATTTTTTGTTTTTTGGGTTTTGTTTTGTTTTTTTGAGGCACATTCTTGCTCTGTCACCCAGGCTGGAGTGCAGTGGCAAAGTCTTGTCTCACTGCAACATCCCCCTTCCGGGTTCAAGCAATTCTCATGCCTCAGCTTCCTGAGTAGCTGGGATTACAGGCATGCCACCATGCCTAGCTAATTTTTGTATTTTTAGTAGAGATGAGGTTTTGCCATGTTGGCCAGTCTGGCCTTGAACTCCTGGCCTCAAGTGATCCACCTGCCTCGGCCTCCCAAAGTGCTGGGATTATAGGCGTGAGCCCCCATGCCAAGCCAAGACTAGGTTTCGAAGTCCAAGGTCCATACCTCTGTTAAGATATTTTGGATTAAAGAAAAGCTGTGATGACATCTGAGATTCTTTGAACTCCTTTTTCATAGAATACTCATGAATACTTGAGCCCTCCATGAAAAGGAGGGGTCTTATAGAAAAAGTTTTATGAGCTGTTGATTGACTAATTCTACATTTCAGAGTCAAAAATCTATGTCTACTTTGGGTGACTTGTTTCTGCTAAATTTCCTTGAGTCCCTTCTGTCTTCTGATTTCTATTCTATAAAATCATAGCAGTGTCTGATTCCGGGAATGACATGTGGTTTTCATTTTTTCAAAAACAACATTCAGCTTTCCATTACTTGTAATCATTGAAGAGCATAATGCACAGATAGCTAGATGGCAGAAATTTCCAAACTCACTTGTAATTAGCTCTGTAAAACATTTATATACCTTTAAAAAATCGTTCTTCCGAGCTGACATATGTAAAGTTAAAGTTAGCTGGCATTTCTGAGCAGAGCCCAGTAGAAAGCAGTGTGAAGAGCCCAGGCTGAGAAGATTTTTTTCAGTCTGGTTTTTTATTTCATTGATCTCCAAAGTGGGTTATCTATGGGCTGGTAGTTGAGAGTTGCCTGTACATACAGAACTATCTCTTAACTGACTTTAAAACAAAACAAGGAATGTGGCTTCCGTCAAGTTAATGAGGGAGGTACCAACCTTCAGTGAGCCCCTTTAATCAGAGCACAGAATAATAAATGATGATGGGATAATTAGAAAACAATTTAGAAAGCAATGTTATATCTCTACTTATATCAATTGTTGGTAAATTAATTAAACTGTAAGTGGGTGGCAAGGGTTTTTTTAAGCAAACCCCTAATGTAGAAACTTTAAGGAAAAATAATGATAGGACTTTCTCAAAACAATCAACAAAAACTGTGCTCTCAGTTATAATTGAAAACAAGTGAAATAGTGTGGATATTTGTCTCCTCCAAATCTAATGTTGAAATTTGATCCCCAATGTTGGATGTGAGGCCTAGTGGGAAGTGTTTGGGTCGTGGGGCAGATACCTCATGAATGGTTTGATGCCATCCTAGTGGTAGTGAGTGAGTTCTCACTCGATCAGTTCACACAAGAATTGATTGTTTAAAAGAGCCTGGGACCTTTCTCTCCCCCAGCTCTTCCTTTCACTTGCCATGTGATGCCTGCTCCTGTCTGTCTTTCACCATGAGTAGAAGTTCCTTGAGGCCCTCACCAGAAGCGGATGCTGGTGCCCTGCTTCTTGTACAGCCTCCAGAACCATGAGCCAAATAAACCTCTTTTTGTTATAAATTACCCAGCCTCCCAAATTCCTTTATAGCAATACCAACAGACTAAGAAAATCAGAAAAAATTTAAAAAGCATATCTGTGACATGAATGACTTAAAAAAAAAGAGAGAGATAGACCTTTATAAGATACAATTGGAAGTACAAAAGCTATAAAGGAAAGTCTAGATATTGTTTACTCCATAAAAGCATTTTAAAGTCTGTATGGAAAGCAGTGCTTTATAAATAAAGACAAAAGACAAGCAATATGCAGAAGAAAATGTTTGTAACATATAAGACAGATTAAAAATGATCATAGCAAAAACATAAGACATTATGCATCAGATGCTTATAACATATATGACAGATTAAAAATGATAACAGCAAAACATAAGACATTAGACATTATACATCAGGTGCTGTTCAAGACATTTTACATATTAACGCATTTAATCCTCACAAAGATGAATATTACCTAATGAAATAGGTACTATTATTACCCTATTTTGCAGATAAGAAAACTGAGACACAGAAAGGTCTCAGGAAGAAAAAAGACAAGGTGGAATTCGGATCCAGGCAGTATGGATTTAGGGTCTGTTCTCTCAATTACCATATCATAATGTGTCTCTTAAAAAACTTTAAAATGTGAATGCTGTATGCAATGTTAACAATGATGTCGATGATAGCACAGAAGGCAGCTACTCTCACCTACTGCAGGTAAGAATGTAAATTGAACAATTTCTCAGGGTCAATTAGACACGACTTAATGAAAAGCCAGAGAATTCTGTATGAATATTTGACCCAGCAATTCCACTTGTTTTTTATGGTATCAATTTAAAATGGATCTTTATGCATTGACACATGAATTTTATATACCTTTAAAAAATTACACGAAGTTGGTGGCAATCAGAATGTGGGTGCCGGATTCATTTTTGCTTATTTACAGCACTGCCAGCATGTACTAAAGTATTCAAAATATGACCAAATTTAAGCAACCTCAGATAATGGTTGCTGTTTCTCCCCTCCCTAACAAACCATTTTCTGTTCTTGGGTACACAATTGGACTACATATCCCAGCCTTCTTGCAGTTAGATCACATGACTGAGTTCTAGTAATGAATACAATTTCTGGGACAGAGCTTTAAAGAAGGAGGTGTTCCACCTCCAAGCTCTCATTTTTCTTTCACTGACTGGAGGCAGATGATGAATTTGAAGCCCTGACAAAGAGAAGGCAAAATCAGTTTGTGTCCCTGAGTTGCTAAGTGGAGAAGAAACGTCCACCAACCAGGAAACACCTGCCTCCAACTGTTAAGTGAGCAAGAAATAAACTTCTGTTGTGTTTGAGCTATTACACATTTTCTGATCTATTTGTCTACAGGTTAATTTATGTTTAAATATGTTTTAAACTGCCACTGAACTGACTTAGTCACATATTTAAACTTTGCAGTAGGTCTGTGAAATGTGCTTTGTTTCTGGTCAGCATGGACACCCGCTTTAATAGTGGCTTCAGATGAGGCACCTTGTGACAGAGGAGCTCTTCCCCTGGTAAGCCATTTCTCTTGATATGTCTTCAGCTCCTTGGTAACAGCTTGTGATGATGATCTTGCAGACTTCTCCAGCTTTTCTGCTGATACTCAGATTCTTCTTCTCAGCAGGCTGGTTCTTGTTTAGCTAGCTAATGATTTTATTGAACCTTTAAGAATCTTGTGTTTGCCCTCCGTCATTGTTTTGGCCTTAAATTTTCTTATTTTCCACCTTGTCCTTAGTGAAGACTGTAGATTTAAGTGAGTTCTTAGGAGATACCAACTACATTTCTCTGCTTCTCCTTTTTTTGTGGGTGTGGAACTTCTCAGCCTTTTGGACTACGTAATTAAGAGCTTCATTAATCAATATATTCTTCCACATTGTGAATTAATACTCTTCTGTTTGGCCTCTTTGTTCACAGCAGCAACCTTGAAGATGTTGTGGAAGACAATAGCCATTCTTACTTCACTCTGAGGATCACGATGGCGTGCAAGGGTGTGCCAAGCACATTGCTATCTTTGGCCATTCTCTCTCACATTAGTACACCTGGATGTGAATGGCACGTTATCTATGTAAGCAGTGATGGTCTCTATCTGGTGGTAGAAATGACAGAATTACACACAATCAGGACAGCTGAGATTCCATTTACTAGCTCAGTAATCAGAGAATATGTATGACATCCCAGCAAAAAATGTTGAACATGTTCAGATTTCATCATATCAGCACCACAGTATCAGTCTTACTGGGAGGTGCTCGCATTCAGTTCCTGGCTACTGAAGAAATTTTGCAGGAGTTCCAGATAACTTACTTGTCCCATAATAATGAAAACTATTACAATTATGCTAAAGAAGAATACTTAATAACACAGTAAAAATGTTTATGATGTCTTTTAATTTCTAAAGCATGTTATAAAAGTATTACAGTATGATCTCATATTTGTAAGTAAAATATATATTAATTCATTTAGCAAATAAATATTAAGCCCCTACTATGCACATACCAATATAGATATTGGTATTTGTGTGGGTGTGTGTTACAGCAGATTTTAATTTTCTTATTTTGTATTTTCTGATTTATCTACAATGAATTTGTATTAATTTGCTAACAAAACATCACTATTAAAATAAATTTTTTTTGAATTATAAGAAAAGGCTAACATCATAACAATAAGGTTGTATAGAATAAACTGACAACACAGAAGTTATTTTGGCCCTGTGTTCCACAGTGACTCACCAAATATACCCTGCACTGTTTATTTTATTTTTTTCTATTTCACTATTGAAATGAACAGATGCATTTCACGTCACATGGATCTCGTGGAAACATGCCAAACATTTTCTTAGCAACCAAACTCCTGTCTTCTGCACTGTGCATGATTAACTAAAACAGCCTGTTGACGGCTTAAAATAAACCTGCCTTTTCCATTTAGCATTTTATCAAATGAATATAATTTCATTTGCTGATGAATTTAGTTCAGCTTCAAGAGAATTTTTCTTTTCTTCATGGGGAGGCTGAAGAATCAGAACTGTCATACCAAAGAATGAAAAGCAAGCCTAGGGAGAACAAGACAGTCTGATGTTTACATGGGTAAAGTAAAAGTATCTTTGTCAATATTACCAGCACTCTCCCTCACCCTCTGTTTTATAGGGTGGAATGTTGATTTTAGTTCTGCTTTTGCATTATGGTGTTTACGTTGCTTGATTACAAGCATTAATTTAAATGACTGCTGTGGGGATTACTATTGTTATTATACGTGAGCTCTTGTCTTACTTTTGTTTATTTCTAGCACTTGAGTATGCCCTAAAATTTAATTAGATTCATCTCTTAGGATAGTAGACCCTTTGCTGGGGTTCAAAAGTAAAGGGACAAATGGTATAATCCGTCAAGGGAGGAGGGAGGTATATTATCAGCAATGAGGAGAGTCAATGTTTTCTTAGAGGATGTGACTCTGCAACTTGGAATGAATTGATATTCTGTTTGATGAATATAAAATATATCTCTGTGTCTATATGTACATGTAGACACTTTGCATCCAAAGACTATAGGGATATTTGCTAAATAAGGAAGATTTAAAGTTTCTTTAAAGACAGCTTAAAAACAAAGTCATCTATGCAGTTAAACCAGCATGTATCTACAGAATCAATGAGAGGAAGAGGGTTGGACTGAATATTATATAGTCCATGCGATTTCCCCACTATCTTTTACTTGTGTCCTCATTTGGAAATAGTGAAAAACAGCACTAATGGCAAATTGCAACACTATTTAAATTTCCACCTTATTTCCCCCAGAGCAAATTCTTAAATGTTAATCATCATCAGGCAGTCAAGTAGACACTTTAGCTGCACATAGTTTTATATTTTTCCTGGGGAATAAAGGCACAACAAATATAAAACATATTCCTGATAAATCCACTCTTTCTGATTGCTGCTCTGTTTACATTTTGAGAAATAATCTTGATGTATTGCCTTTAACATTAGACATAATCAATATAAGATTGATAGACATTTTACATTAAACATTGTAAAAATAGCTGCTCCCACATTTAATATTCTTCTGCTACAAGTCTGAATTCTTCATTACTTAAGCGAGGTTATGATGCTATTCAGCTACTTTGGAAAATGTCACTATCTTCTTCAGGTTTGTTTTTGAAAGTGTATTAACATTTTCAAAACCTGATTTCTAAGTTGAGAAAAATCCAACTGAAAGATGTCACAATGACTATTTGAGACTAATCCTACTGACGGCATTACTTCCTTTATGGAGGTAAGACTTGATAACTAGCATTCTCTCCCACTAGCCTACAGAGAAGATTCCCTAAAACAATACTGGGAGCTTCTTGCAGGTGCTTAGAGTTTTATTAATTACACTCAGCTGGGCCGAGGGAAACTAGAGATGAAATCTAGGAAATATTCCAGAGTCTGGCATGTGAGCAATCATAAGCAGTTCATGGAAACCTCAGAGTGTCTCAGCTTTCCTGCTTTATATTCATTAATTTCCTTTTCTCATATTAATAAAGGTCAATGCTGTTAGTGCCTATCTTATCCATAGAAAGGAGCTTGATCTTGAACTAATTCCATTATATTCTATTTTTTAATAGAAAACTAAAATCTTACATTTGGGGATGGCTTTGTTGTCAGTATGCTTGGTACAGCTTTGTCTTTTTCTAGTGAATAGCCCTTTACTTTATTCCAAAAGATCGTATGCTTCTTAGAAGCATTTTTATTCTTTAGTTAAAATTACATTTTACTTTTAAAACTCAATTTAAAAATCAGCAGTTATTTATTGATGGCATGATATTAGTTGCTATACTAAATCCTATAGATGAATTAATTCTCACACTGACACTAGGAAGTAGAATCAGGTCTTTCTGATGCTCTATAATAAAGTGAAAAAGAACACACCACACCCACATTAAGAATAGATTAAATGTCTTAGTTAATTAGCCAAGGAAAAAGAAATCTCTCCAAGGCAGGACCAATATGGCCTGACTAACAAGGATTTCCCTGGTCTCTGCTCCCTGAGAAAGTCCACCAGGAAGGTCATATCCACAGATAGTAAAGACCATCAGTGTCTAAATGTCCCTGATAGTAGACCTACCTCCAGCTTTCCAGGCTTCCCAAATAATTACGTCTTCACAACCCAAATTATTTTCCAAATCCCGTGTTCTTATAATTACAGCAGATTTCAGAACATTATACCTTTGCAGTGGTGTTCCTTAAAAATGAGGTACATAAATTCCTTTAATTCTATAGTGAAATAAAAATATAGTTCATTTACAATTTAAGGACTGGGGCAACTAAAATCTGGCCATTTGAATAACTAATTTCTGGTAAAAAGAAGAGGAACTAAAGTATAGAGATTGGTTAATATAGTATTGGAAATTGTCAGGATAATTTGGGAATAGTTCTTTTTAGATCAATGGATGGATTCAATAAGAACATCTTTGACTTATGATTCTAAAATGTGGTACTATATTTTTGCAAATTTCATCTTGAGGAAATACTTTTCTGTAAGATTTTCTCCCTAAAGCTAGATTAGATCTCCAGTGGGAGTACCCGTACTCCCTGGAAGTCTGGAACAAAACAGGCAATAATTTCTCAGCTCTGCAATGGTATACAATGGTTGCCTAAACAAAAAAGGGCAAAGTTGTCTGGTACTTGCATAAATAGATAACTAGAAAGATATAGACATGGGTATGCATGGGTGTGTGTGTGTATATGTGTATGTGTGTGCATACAATTAAGAAGCCTATATGTATATGGATATAAGCTTATAGATATACATACATATAAGCTTCTTAGTTCCAAATATAGTAACATAAAGAATACTTAAGTTATTAGGAAAAGATACTCTTTCAATGCAGGCTCTAGGGTGCACTAATTCAGTTGTTACTATCCATATGTGGGGCTATATAAATTTAAATGTAAATTAATTAAATGTAAATTAATTTAAAATTCATCTTCAGAGCTGCACTAGCCACATTTCAAGTACTCCACATATGGCTAGTAGCTACCATATCAGATAGCACAGACGTAGAATCCTTCCATCATTGCGGGAAGTTCTATTGGACAGTGTTGGTCCAGAAGTTAAGGAAATATTTTTAAAATGCATTTAATAAGGGCTTGTTAGTCTTATCCTTTCAATAAAGTCTTCCCTGAACTAATTTCTGTTGTAGATTACTAAAATGGGCTATTTTATTATGCTGTTCACATAGTTATTCAACTTCTAATTAGAGGTTGATGAAGTTCTTTCATTTACAACAGTATCATTTGCACCACATTTTCCAACTGCATTAAGAAGTTACATGATCTCACAGAAAATAACAAAAGACAGAGAATTTACTCAACAGTCTAGAATATATAAATATAAATATATGTGAGGGGTGTGTGTGTGTGTGTGTGTGTATGTGTGTAAGTTTGTGTTGACTGAAAACCAAAGTTGAGAACGACGTGCTCCCACATTGTAAAGTGAAATGCTAAACATACTACTAGCTGATCTTTGCAACCTTTTCAAGAAGAGTCCAGTTAAGTCCAACAGGGACTTCTGGTCTGCATAAGGAAATCATTAGAGAAGATGTTTTGAAGAAATGTCTAAGAGCAAAGAATTACCAGTGGCTCTCAAAGATTCTGTTTGCAAGTGGCATACTGCTCATATTTCACTTGCCAAATCAAGTCATGTGACCAAACCTGCCATCAATGGGGTGGAGAAGTATACTCTTCTTACAGAGAGTAGCAGCAAATAATTAGGGACAATAGTATACCTGTCACAAGGCCCTTTTGCTAATGATAAACATCTCACTCTCTGTATTAGTTAGGGTTCTCGAGAGAAACAGGACCGGTAGGATATACATATATAAGGAGATTAATATGGGAACTGGCTCACATGATTATGAAAGCAAAGAAGTCCCATCATATGCTATCTGCAAGATGGAGAACTCCAAATTCAGACTGTAATTCAGGTTGGGTCCAAAGGCCTGAGAAACAATAGGAGCTGCTGGTATAAGTCCCAGAGTCAGAAGGCCAGGAACTCCAGTATTTCAGAGCAGAAGACAGGTGTCCCAGCTCATGGAGAGAGAGAGAGACAGACAGAGAGAGAGATAGAGAGAGAGAGGGAGAGAGAGAATTCGCTCTTCCTCTGCATTTTTGTGCTGTTTAGGTCTTCAACAGATTAGATGATGCTGACCACGTTGACGAGGGCAGCTCTTCTTTACCTCAGTCCACTGATTCAAATGCTATTCTCTTTCAGAAACACCCTCACAGACACACCCAGAAATGTTTTACCGGCTATCTGGGCATCCCTTAATGTGTCAGTCAAATTGACACGTAAAATTAACCATGACACTCTGTCTTCTATATATCTTGTTATGATATAGCTGGTTTCTAGACGGTATTTTTATATCTGCTTAGAAAAAGGACCCCTATTTTTAGAACAACTGAGGTATCTGGTTCTTCAACATTTTCAACAATAGACCACTGTGGTTTCTTGGAGTCTCTTATCATCCTTGACCTAGGCTCAGCTTCACTGGTTACCCTCCTACTGTACTCCAAATCTGTAGCATGCATAAAAAGCAGAGAACACTTTGTTCATTACTCTGCCTGTTTTAGTGCCAGAGATCCTGGCCTGTAGTCGGAAATCTGGTAGGGAACAATTTGGACAAATTGAATAGAAGGTGTTATTTATGGCCATGAGGACAGAACAAGAATACCTGCCGCTGGAAAGCTTTAGATTATGATCATGTTTTCTTTCTCATTAGCAGGGTATTTCAAAGGCGGGTGGTGGTCACTTTATTCATTATAAACAAATACCGCTGAGCCTTAACTTTTAGAAGAAGCTTGTATTAATCAACACAGCACCCAGAAATGACACCTGTGAGACAGCTGTTTTTATCTCCATTTTGCAAAAGAGCCAGCAAAACAAAGAGAGGTTAAGCAACTTGCCCAGAGCCTCACAACTCTTAAGTGCTAGAGATGGCATCAGAGCTTGAGTCTTCCTGATTCCAGATTTACACATGGATCTGGTGAGCATCTTCCTACTCATATCAACAAGTAGCATTTGTCAGGTGGTATACTGCATTCGCCAGGCCTCTTGCCAAAGGCATTATCAACATTGGTTGATTTGTCTTTAAAATCACACTGCAAAATAACTATTATTCTTACTATTCTATAGCTAGGAAATTGAAGCTTAGAGGGGTAAATATGCTGTGAAAGATTACACTGCTAACAAGTGCTGGAGCCAGAATTTTAAACCAAGTCTAACTCTAAAGCCACTGTTGCCACTGCTTACTAACCTCTACTGTTATAGCTTTAACGCTTAGCATCTGCATCCAAAACTAGGGGTGCCCTGAAGTGCAGAAAGGCAGTATACCTGAAGTCATACCAGAAAGGCAAGTAAGAAGAATACAATTACTTGAGTAAAAATGCATGGCATTGGATGATGGTGTAGGTTTATGGTGGAAAAGAGAATATTAAAATGAGAATTACAGAAGAAAATCACTTAATCTTGAAATAGAAATGGATTCCTGTCCCTGAAGCTCTTTTGCTAATTTTGCTTTCTCAGACCTAATTTTTGTCTTAAGCATGCTTATTTTGATTCTAATCCAGTTGAAGCAAGCTTATAATTAAAGTGGCATTTACTACATTGGACATTTTTCATACTGATTAGATAGGAGTGTCTAGGGCAGCGAAAGGCCCTTGGGATCTGGGCACATCCAATGTCTTGATCACACGGTAGAAACAGGCAACCAAAATACAGCCTTGGTGGGAGACAGTCTGAGTCAGAGGCATTGTTAGATGATAAGCCAAAGCAGAAGCCAGGGAGCTGAGTGCACCCAGAGATACTCATTGCTGGGAGGCTCTGTGTTCATCTTATTTTAATCAGTTGACCATTAAAAGAGAGAGAATGAAAAATCATTAGGATGACTGAGTCATATGACAATTGTGTGCAACTCAACCATACCTAATACTAAAACAAGAGGTATTCTGATGGAAGTTAGCACACAGATTGACATGAGTTGTCATTTCTGACACTTAGAACCAATCTTTTTCTAAAGAACTCCTACCTCTCAAAATGGTAGGATATGAAAATGAGGCCCTAGCTAGATCAACTCAGTGGAAGCTAGTATATGATTTCTTAACTATTTCAACTGGAAGTATGCACCAGGCTGTCACTGATGTCCAAATAACCCCTGCAATACTTAGACATCCTTCCACAGAAGATTATTCCTAATTCCTGTATTTCTAGAACGATGCCCAGAATTTAAAATAATAGCCCCATGCCTTGCTACTCGTAACTGAGAATGTAAATGTCCTTGGATAGCTGGAAAAATTGGAGAAAAAATGATAAAGGTTTTTCTTCATGACAATCAGTTCTACAGACATCTAGCTCTGCCAGAATGGAGGCAATCATTTATTATTGATTAAGCAGTGGAAGCCGTGGTTCTGGGTTTAAGGAAGACAGTTTTCTGGCCAAGAGGATCTAGAAAGTGCCCTTGGAACAACTGACTTTCCAGGATGTTAATATACTCTATGGCCACTGACAAAAATACGAAGGATTCTGGGCTTGATTTTAAAGGAAGAGTGAATGTTCACCCTCACTTCTTCGAATATTGAGTAGAAAATCAAAGGCTTTTCTCTAATCTTCATTCCTCTCTTTATTCCACTCTTGGAGCCTGGTTGTAAACCTTGGTATCCTGTGCTATGGTGAGTCTACAGATGGATTGGGTTGTTCAGAATCTTCCCTCCTGTAATACACTACTACTTTATATAAAGAATGACCCCAATCACAGGTTCTTATAGATCTTTAGAGGAGAATTTAAAACTATGGGGAAAACAGTAATTTTGTCCCACTACAAACAAATCAATCTGTGATTTGTGTATTGAGACTCCCTCAGAGAGATTTAGGCAATTAAGAATTGGAAACCCTTAATTAGAATGAAAAAGACTCAGTGATGGTAGATGGAGATGCTGATGAGTTCCAGAAGGGCTCTCTGTGTGTTGAGAGTTGGGTAGTCAATATGCAATGTAACATCTAGAGTAGTGTGGAACATTTCATTACCAAACACTGTAATCATGCTCAGGGCTCCCCTGGAGTGGCTCATCATGGGCCCTGACCTCAGGGTCCTATTTCTTCTGGTGTGGTTTGGGGTATATTTAGTGAGTAAATGACCATGCTTTCTCCCAGTGGAACTAAAGAGGGCAGGTTGGATACAACAGCTTCTAGAGCTGGCGCTGGACTTTGTCAGCAGTATGGCTTTTATGATCGTCGATCATAAGCAAAGAAAAACTGTTTCTATCCCTCTCTCTGCCAGGCATCCCTCCAGTGTCTAGGTTTCCCCTCTGCGGCTAAGTGGTATACATAACACCCCTTCTATGTGCCAGGCTATGTCACTGTAAGGCCCTTCTGATAATGATAAACAGCTCACTCTCTGTATTAGTTAGGGTTCTCCAGAGAAACAGGACTATTAGGATATACATACAAAGATATAAGGAGATTAATATGGGAATTGGCTGTAAGCAACTATAAGCAGTGACAGCCTGGTACATAGAAACAGCCTCCCCTTTTCTCTACACTTAAATCCTTCCTGTTCTTTAACAGGGAGCTTGGACTTCACTTCCTGCAGACAAATATCTACATATTACCCTCCAGTTTATTTTTTATTTTGTTTATTTAATTGTGACTTTCTTCATTGTACTGTAACTCCCAGGGTACTGAACATAATTCTAACAGGAAGACTTCAATTAAAATGGAGTAATGGTGAGGTACATCTGAGATACTTGCTATTTTGGAATCTAGGAAAGCAAATGTCGACGGGAAAACAGGAAAGTAGGATTCAACATCTAGACTTTTTAATGGTAAAGATTCCAAAGAAAAGGCTGTATTTAGGAAAATGAATGAATACTGTTTAATTATATGTAGAAATCTAAAAATAAGTGAATGAGTATATACATTGGAGAGAGTGACAGAATTAAAAGTAAGACATCTGCAAAGTGATAGAGGAAATAGAACAGATAATCTGGATATTACAGGCCAAAAGCAACATAAAACATCTAATAATGTTTTTGGTATAGTGGAAAAATCAACAATAATCTGAAATTTTCTGTTCTTTTGCAATATGAACAAATTTTATTTTATTGTTGGATATTCTCTCTGTCAGCTTTCTAAAATGATCTGGATATATTACTGACTTTTCTAACTTTATTTTCCCTGCTACTATTATTTTATGTATTACTCTGTGGGCATCTTATTTTCTTGCCTACAGGGAATAATTTAACCTAAATATTAACATTAGTCATTTGAGCATAGTATTTCACGGACATTTTTATCCCTCTGTTTTTTTAAGATCATCCATTACTTTTATTCTGTTTCCTGTGTTGACGTTTTTCATGCTGTTTGCAATAATTTTCAGTAGGAAAAAAGTTTAAATGCATACAGTGACACTTCCATGAAATGGAATTTTCAAAGACATTTGTTTCTTGAATCTGTTGCTATGATTTTAAAATAGGAATGTTATACCCAGGAAAATATGCAATGTGGGAGCAGGACATATTTTACCACTGTGGGTATGTTCAAATTTCTAAAAATATTTTTGTTTTCTTTCTCTTTTTAAAGTTTGACAAGAAAATATTTGTGCATTCAAAATTTTTTTCCTAGTTATTGAGTTGTTTTATCTCATTGTTCCTTGATGTCATCTCACCTAAGTATATGATTTCAGTGTGTTTTCTGGTTGGACTCCTGAGAGATGGCAACGTCAAGCAGGTTTATTTAGCTGTGTGATGAACAGAACTGCAGGAAGCAAGCAAAGGCTGTTAGCAGAAACCAGGAGGAGATCTTTAAAAGCATGATGAGCTGTGTTACACACACCAAGGGCACAAATAAATTCCACTTTGCACCATTCTCAGAGATATCGCTGGTAGGTGGTAGAGTGTTGAGGAGTCAGAGCGCTAGTCGAGGATCAATGCGGCAGCAGCAGCGTGGAGGTGAGAGAGCCGAGGATGCCGGGAGCCACCTGGTTCCCACGACTGATGGAGCAGGACCACCGCCCTCAGCCTCAAGCTGTTCCTGCAGCTTGGAAACTATCGGCTAAGCTGGCCCAGAGTATGAGAATTTTCTAAAAGCTGAAGGGAGACAGTCCCTTTAGTCCATGGGTATTCCAGTCATTAGATCCAAAGACAAGCTCAGCTTCTATTTCAAAAAAAAAATAGCAGATAGCTGCAGGGTTAGCTCTCCCCGCAATAGCTGTTCACACTGATTTGCTTCATAGATTGATTGCTTTTGCCATTTGCAACCCTCCTGAACAACAGGGGAAAAAAACCCAGTGGCTGGGCCAAACTCAGAAATGATGAACGAACGTGGAAGATACATTTGGTGTCACACTGACTTGCAATGGATAACAGCATTTAAAAGTAGTAACAGCTGGATTCAAGTTTTTAAAATTAGGGCTGTATTATTAATGGAGGAATTGGGACACTGGGAGTCTGAGAGGGAGATTTAAAAGCTTATTTTAAATGAATGGGCTTTCTGCTGTACCTTGGGATGGCAGCCACCAGGTGGACAAGACACACAGCTCTGGCCCCTTGTCAGACAACTTTTACTCAGCTGGATTCAGCGTTAGACCTTGGTATGCAACGAGGACACTCTAACAAGGAGTGGCACAAAACCTCTTTTGTATTTATTGTGGGGATTTTGTAAAGTATATTGGCCAATAAATCTCATACCGTCTTCTTCATGAAGACATCCAGGAGAAATTCCCCACACAGCTTACAGACAGGAAAAGCTATGTTCTCCAGAGAAATGATGCCGTTCCCCTTCATAAACACTAAATCTTGTGACTGCCAGAGTTTCCCTCCTGCCTTGGTCCTGGTGAAGCAAGCGACTGAGTTTAAGATTAGAATGGGACCTTCTGTATACACTGATATTCAATACTCTTATTCCTGGCTTCACTTTGCTTTCTTACCCTTATTTTTCTTTTTCTCCTATTATATGCATTTTTGCAATGAGGAGGAAGATAAACAGTCAGTACACATTTTTTAGTGATAAATAATCATTTAAAATTTTTCCCAAGTGGCAATATAGTTATAAAAGAAAATATCCTTAATTTTTAAGAAATGATGGATGGGAGTGAAATGATGTGCAACTGCGATTTGTTTTAAAACACCTCAACAACCAAAGGGGTAGATAAAGCAAGAAGGGAAACATTTTGAAAATTGAATATAGGTGGGTTTTTTAAACTATCCTTTTTAACTTCTGTGTATGTTTAGGAATTTTAATTAGAAAATGTTTTCCATTTGGATCAAATTTTTGATATAGTAGGAGGCCAAGTTTCTTGTCAACTTGACAGTTATTTCCATCAGAAAATGTTGACTAGTTTTTCACAAATTCTTCTGAAATTGGTTTAACTGTTTTGTTTTTCTCCCCCTGCCTTGTCATTTGAAGCTTCAAGTCATACAATCTAAGACAGAATGAAGGCAGCAAATCTAAACTCCAAGGCTACATAAAGTGTGCCATTCCACAGGTAGAAACACTCACATGTGCTTAGAAACGCTCTGCTTTCCTCCTTGATTACCCAAATTCTCATTCTGAGCTTCTATTTCTCCAGATCTAGACTCGGGAATTTAATATCTGAAGACTCATATAGGGCTGATCTACCCTAACTTGCAAAATTTCATGCATATTTCATACTTACACTCTTCATATGTCAGTGGTGCTATTGTTTGGCTACTTTCTCTATCTGTGTGGTTTCATCACCAGTCTATTCACCCCTATATAAAACTTAAGATTTGAGATAAGAACTGGAATTTAAATGACTTAGGAAAGAATGTATCTTGGTTAGAATATAAGAGTCTGAAAAGTCTGCTGTGGGTGCTAAGCTGGCTACTAAGGGAAATGCTAACAGAAATTTGTCATATGTCTTCAGAGTATTGTCTGGCAACTGATTAAAACAGAGGAAGAGTGAAACAACATCTGCTTCTCTCCACCTCACACTGATAAAATGGTTGAATAAATGCACTTTGCTTATGGCCATGAAGAACACAGGGGACTTCATCTTTCCAAGTGTTTTCATACAATGCTCAAGGCTAATTCTTTTGGTCCTGATGTTTTATTTCTTAGCACCTGCTGGATCAAGAAGCACCCACAAGGATCATTTCTCAAAAATGTCTGAAACTATATCTATTCTGACTATGAACCTTGATCACAATTCAAACCCTTAGGCTACTGTTCTGATTGTTTTCAGCATTACCCACTAACTTTTGCTTTCTATTTCCATATTCTGTATTCTGGGGGCACTTTTTATACAGAGTCTGAAAGTGCTATTCTTTTTTTTTTTTTTTTTTGAGACGGAGTCTCTCTCTGTTGCCAGGCTGCAGTGCAATGGCACGATTTCGGCTCACTGCAACCTCTGCCTCCGGTTCAAGCAACTCTCCTGACTCAGCCTCCCGAGTAGCTGGGACTACAGGCGTGCACCACCACACCCGGCTAATTTTTGTTTTTAGTACAGGCGGGGTTTCACCATGTTGGCCAGGATGGTCTTGATCTCTTGACCTCCTGATGCATCCGCCTCAGGCTCCCAAAGTGCTGGGATTACAGGTGTGAGCCACTGTGCCCAGCCCGAAAGTGCTATTCTTATTATGACCTACAGTGGTAATATTTCACTTAAAAATCAGTGCTATGCCCATTGCTGGTTAACAAGCTTTGGAGAAGTATTAGGTTGAACCATAGAAACTGCCACAACTGTTCAAATATTGAAAATTTTATATGCTTCAGCTCATAGTCTCCTTCACACACATTCTCTTTCATATTTTTTTATAATTTTATTTTTTGTATGACTTAATGGGCACATGCTGATTTCCTGTATGTCGTCAACACTCCTGAGCCATGAGGGTAAGATCAGAGCTGCAGGAGTCCAGACACGTACTTTGTCGCCTGCCAAGTGAAAGACAATGAATGGAGTTATCTAAATTTTTCAGTGAACTTTTTGGTGTCTATGTTGTCTAATTTTATTCCCTTACTTTGTGTTTAAGAAAGATCTAATACCCACAGAGAATACCAAGGCTATTAAAGTCTAAGCAGGTGACCTACCTCAAAGCTTAAGTTCCTGTTATCATAGGCCTCGTTTCTCAAATTTGTATAAATGTACATGTGATGGAAAACCAGAAGATGCTTGGTAAACATGGTCAGTTTTACTCAATGATGAATGGTTTCAGTCATTTTTTTGTATTAAAGGAAACATAAATATACTATGGAGTAAAATGCAAACACTACACGGTTTTTTAAGATAAATTCTGACACTTGAAAGGCATGTTCTGCATTTAGGGCTATTGCCAGCCCCAGAACCATGGGATGAAGTTTTACTCCTTCTGCTGGTAGAGGAAGTTTAGTGGAAGGTTTGAGAACCTGAGCCCTGAGTGTAGGAAATGCATAGAAGTAGCAAAGTCTGAACAACACTGAGAACTACACAGTAAAATTAGCACATAGGATTTATTATCCTTTGTTGAATGAGTATATGAGTATATGATGATGCTGCTGATGATGATGACAATGACCACGATGATTTAAAAAAAAAAAAAACTAATATTTTTGGAGTTCTTACAATGGGCCTAAGTTTTGGTGCACAAGTATTCCAGGGATTGGCAAACTACATCCTGTAGGCCAAATTCAGCCCGCTGCCTGTTTTTGTAAGTAAGATTTTATTGGAACATAGCCACACCAAGTCATTCAGGTATTATCCATGGCTGCTTCCACTCTATTTAATACAAGGGCATACTTGAGTAGTTGCAACAGAGACTACATAGTCTACAAAGCCTAAACTATTTAGTATCTGGTTCTTTACAGAAAAAAATTGCCAATTCCTGTATTAGTGCATTAATTCTCATAACAAGCTTATGAGAGAGATTCTAATATTAACTTCATTTTGCTGATGAGAAAACTAAGGCACAGAAAGGTTGTTTAACTTACTCAAAGTAAAAGAGCAAGTAAGTGGCAGGGCAGTATTTGAATCCATCAGTCTAGTTCTAGAGCCCACATATCTGAAACAACTCACTATAGAGATCCTTCTAGATAAGGGAAAACATATTCAAGGTCACTTTAAAAAGATAGGCCCTAAGTTGACAGCCTCCTAGTATATGCTGTTAATATATCCGTAATTAGAAAAGAAGGTTCCAAATTATGAGGATGGTGAGCAAGAAACTTGGAACATGGAAAAAATAGCACCTGTCTTAGCCAGTTTAGGCTGCTATAATAGGGCACCATAGATTGGTGGCTTATAAACAACAGATATCTATTTCTTATAGTCTGGAGGCTGGAAGTCCAAGGTCAGGGTATGAGATGGTTTGAAAGTTTGTCCCCTCCAAATCTATGCTGAACGGTGATTCCCAGTGTTGGAAGTGGGGCCTGGTGGGAGGTGATTGGATCATGGAGGCGAAGCCCTCAGGAATGGTTTAGCATCATCCGCTTGGTAGTAAATGAGTTCTCCCTTAGTTCTTGTGAGATCTGGTTGTTTAAAAGAATCTGGGACCTCCCCCTTCTCTCTCTCTTGCTCTCATTCTCACACGTGATAACACTGGCTCCCTCTTTGCCTTCTGCCATGATTGTAAGCTTCCTGAGTTCCTTACCAGAAGCAGATGCCAGCACCATGCATCCTGTACAGCCTGCAGAACTGTGAGCCAATTAAACTTCTTTTCTTTTTAAATCACCTGGCCTCAGATATTTCTTTGTAGAAATGCAAAAATAGACTAACACAGGGTACCAGCAAGGTTGGGTTCTGGTCAGGGGCCTCTTCTAGGTTGCAGACAGCTGACTTCTCATTGTATCCTCACATGGCAGAAAGCCAGAGAGGTAATTGGGGTTACTTTAGGGCACTAGTCCCATTCATGAGGGTTCCATCCTCATGATCTAATCACTTTGCAAAGGTCTCACCTCCTAATACCATCACATTTGGAGTTAGGATTTGAACATATGAGTCTGGGGAGAAATATAATCATTCAGTTCATTGTAGTGCCTAAAAACATTACAGCCCCATCCACTTGATGCCCACTCCCCACGTGCCATGGGAAGTTCAAAGAATCCTGAGACATCTAAACAAAGCCCTTAAAAAAAAATTAAAAACCATTAAATCATTAAAACTATTGCTCTAGCCAAAGCTGTCTCTTCCTGAATATGGTTTGCAAATCCCAATTCCATGTTTGTGCATTCCCTAAGTTGTTGTTTTCTACTCTTTGCCCTCCCAATACCCACAATGAAAGTGGGAGGAAATTCAGACATTATCTGAAAGAATGTTAGTAATGATGGGGAGTGTCAGGTTTACACTGGGGTGATCATGAAAATGCCGTTCTTTTAACGTCATAGTCTAGATTCCTAGAAAGCAAAGGTTATGACTACTTAGTGAATTTCTTAAGATCTTGCAATGTGCATGCAAATACATAATAAATACAAGAAATAATCTTGTGTTCAGGCTTCTGTTAACTAGAATGCCCTGTTAATTGTTACTCCATACTTCTATAATAATGGATCTCAGAAACTTGTTGAGGTTGCTTCTTAATTATCCAAAACCTGCGTTCATTATAGTTTTCTCTTTTTAACACAAATACACTTTTAATTGATATCAGATAAAAACTACTCAGAGAAGGTCAGTAATTGTTTTAGCCCCTAATCTGTTAGAGCCCTATGGTGAGCAGCCTTGAGGAGCTGGGTTAACTGGTTATTTTCCCTAGTTTCCATCATCTGCAGTATTAGGAAAAACAAGGCACTGTCTCAGTTTAGGATAAACACATGGCTGGCAACCAAATCCAGTCTCTTACATTCCATGTTTTTTCCTTAGCTCTTCTACATTGTTGACGTAAGCTTTCATGGCATCTTCCTTGGTAGTCCCTTTCAGCTCATTCCAGGCATCCCACTTGGTCTTGCCTTTGAAATCCAACATCCCAGGCCATTCTGTATTTATGTCGCCCACAGTTGCTTGTTTGTAGTGGCCATAGAGGAACACATCTCATCATCCCCTGGCTTGGTCTTAAGGTGTTTAACGTCTTCCACAGCTCTCTCAAACTCAGCCTGAGACATCCTGGCCAGCTTGCAAGGACTCCAGGGAGCCCGTGGAGGAGGAGAGGAGCAGGAAGCAATCATCATAGTTTTAAAATTAAATATGTATACTCTGCCTAATTCTTTTAAAGATGCACTATATATATGTATATATAGTACTATTTTCTTTTAAACTGGTAACAGGTTCCTTAAAAATTGTTGATAGTTTTCTGTCTCTGATAACGGAGATGTCAGTTTACCTTTGGAGCTGGATTCTTTTTCGGGGTGGGTGGGGGAATCCCCAAATTGTTCCTTGTGTGATATACATGTAAAGGAAATAACCACCCATGAGCTGATAAGGGGAGATAATTGGATCTTTGTGAGATCTCGACCAGGGCTCTGGCCCTTTGAGTAGATGGTGTCTCATAGCCCTCCTCAAGTGAGTGTCCAGCTCAGATTTCCACTCTCAAGTTCAGAGTTGTCAAAATGGCCTGATGGGCCTCCAAAGCCCTGGTGAAGATGACCAGCAAAGGTAATTAAGTCCAAAGATAGAATTTGTGATAAGGGAGAAGAGTCTGCATTGGTGACCCTGATTCAGTGTCAGGGCCTTAATCAGATGGAGGAAGCACTCATTCTGGACTTAGTGCACAGCTGATACCAAAACTTCCTTGGACCAGTACCTCCAGCGCTGTGGGTGTATCCTGACGAAAGGACTGAGGTTGTGATTGTATTATATATGGCTGATTCCTAGACAACTTGAAATCAAGGCTATGTGTCTTGTGGGACAACCATGGCTGAGTCTGTGGAGAAAGGGGTAGTTCCCCAAGGAACATATTGGTTATTTTACCAGCAAAAACGCAAATGAATAGCAGGCAAACAAAAACAACTGATTACACCATAAATACTAAAAATGATTTACCCCTTTTATAAAAGGTAAGCAAATGCCTATGCCTTTCTCAAGTTCAAGAATTATTATAACCATGCTTCCATTTCCAAAAGAAGGAAACTGTACCCATAGTGACTGTATAGAAAAAGAAACACAACAGAGGTTCAGAGTCATAGCTGGGCTGACTGCCTGCACACACCCAGCTGTTCTCTTAAAATCACAAAGCCCGTGGAAGTTCCAGACTCTGTTGTTTTGGCCCAAATTACATATTTCAACACTTTATTGTTTGCTTTTGATGTCTGGGTTAGTAATTTTCATGCAAAAAGGACCATCTGGGAAAAACATTTTTTTGTGTCTCGTGGGTTCTTTATGGATAAGCAAAAATGCTCATTATTTAAGCAAAAATGTTTTTAATATGGAGCTGCAATGATGTTGTGAATAAGGAGTTATATCATTGTGCTATCCACTTCTATGCCCAGAAAAACAGAAACACATTGCTTTGTATTCATGAGGAAAGTGTAGAGATCACTGCAAGAAATGTGTTTTAGAAATAGCCCCAAATATTACTCTAGAATACATTCTTTGTTATTAAGCTTTGTTAATAGCATAAGGAAAACAAATGCTTCAGTAAACTTTTTCACATGATCTTTCATAAAATTACAACATTTCTTAATATATTTTTAAATCAAGAAAGCCACATATACAATATTAACTGGGAAAGAATATTTTAAAAAAAACAATTCTTAAAAATAACAGATTGGCATAATCAAATCAGGTGAGTTCTGGTGATTACTGAGAAATAAAACACCTGGATTTAATAAATCTTAAAGCACTTAACCATGTAATAAAGCACAGAGCAATGGAAGAAAATGTGTAAATTTGAAGTCTCATCTGATTTAAAGTCACAAAAATGAGGATCACACAAAATACTCTCGCCTTCCTGGGCAGAAGTGAATACATCAACACTGCAGGCTATGACAGTGTAGTAGCTATTAACCCATTGTGGATAAACAATTAAAAAGCTTGATTACCCAATGTAAGATAATGTAAAGTAGCACTCTTCAAACGAGTCTGGGTATATCAGAGTACATGCCGACTTGCCCTAAGAGACCATGTTGGGTGGGGTCATGGGGGGTGGCTTTAAAGAATCCAGGTTCTTAAGTGAATTAAGTCAAGAACAGGAAACCAAATACAGCATGTTCTTACTTATAAGTGAGAACTAAGCATTGTGGGAGCTAAGCATTGGATACTCATGGACATAAACATGGGAACAATAGACACTAGAGACCACTAGTAATCTACCTATTGGGTACTATGCTCACTGCTTGAGTGATGGGATCATTCATACCCTAAACCTCAGCATCATACAATATACCTATGTAAAAAACCTGCACATGTACCCCCGAACCTAAAATAAAAGTTGAAATTAATAAATAATTTCTTTAAAGAATCCAAGTCCTTACCCTCCATATGTTCTCTTTCCTAAAACACACCTGCCTACAGTATATCCCTCTGGTAGTTCTCCTCTTATCTCTCACCACTATCACCTTTCTCCCAATGTACTCAAGAACAAACCTTTTACTCTTCTTGAATCCAACTACACACATTTTTCCAGGGTGGAAAAAACCCTCATCAAACCAAAGGGTTTAAAATGTCAAAATTGAAATATGATATATTGGCAGAGGAAAAGAAAAGAGATTATCAGTAAGAAATATTGAAGGCATAGGTGTGTTATTTTGTACAAGTGACAAACTTATGAAATAATTTTTTATCAAAGGTTTTTATCTATTTAACTAGAATATTTAACCGGAAACCATGCTAGGAAGTTCCAGTCGGTTAAGATGTGTGTTCTCTCTGCATCTTTATGATTCTCAGTAGTGAGAATGAGCTTGATAATTTGCATTATTAACCTGCATCATGGCCTGTGTCTCAGTTGCATATGTGCATGGTTTCAAGGAAGAAGCGACAAAAATGTCCATGTTTACTTGCATCAAGTTTTTCCAAAAAGGCCATTTATAAGAAAAATCATCTTTATTTTATTTAACAGAGACACGAATCTCCTGCTCACTGTCACTCCTCAGTTATTGTGTTTATTCAACTATTTGATGTTGTTTTGTGATACATAATTTATTTAATAGCAATCATCAATTTACTTTTTGTAAACTCTACAATTACTAGGGACTCAATACCTTCTCTTTTCTTTGCTGGTAATTCCCAGCAGAGTAAACTGGACTCTTTAAAATAAAACATTTACTTAGGTATGGGTGTATGATATCCCTCTGCCCCCTGTAGAGAGGGGACTGGCTCATAGTGAATCCTAGGCTTCTATTGTCCCTTGCTCCCTATCTGTAAGTAATAAGCCTGCTTCATGGAACTTGTATGTGACAGTTCTATCTCACTGGATTCAGACAAGTTGGTAACCAGTGCACAGTGAACCTGTGTCACACTGTTGGCTTAAAACCATCATTTAACTCTCACAGTTCTGCTGTTCAGGAATTTAAGCAGTGCTCAAAAGGGAAAGCTCATTTCTGCAACATGTGCATTGACTGGAGAATCCATGATAGCTTTGCTCACATGTCACATTTCTCTAATGTTTGACTGAAGTGGCTGGGACCTGGCTGATCCTCTCTATCTCTCCCTTCACAGGCTCTTATACTCTGGGGCCTCTTTTTCTGCACATGCTCTCTCTTTACATGGATTCTTTATATAGCTGCTTGTTTCCTCTCTGAGTGAAAACAGAAGCTATATGACATTTGAATGTCTGGGCTCAAAAATCCAAGCATATGACTTCTGCTGCATTAAACTTGTCAAAAAAATCACAAGTTCAGTGCAGATTCAAGGTATGAGTAAACAGATGTGCTCTCTCGGTCAGAGAACTGGCAAGTGCATAAATAATTCTTACTGGCTGTAGTTACATACAATCTCCCACAGTCTGCCCTCTGGCCACAAAAACTCACATTACTTCCATATGCAAACTATAGTCAACTGTTCCAAAGACTCCCAAAGTCTCAACAAATTATAATATCAAATCCTATGCCCAGTATCTCTTGATCTACATTGGGATCATACAGATGTGCATGAAATTTCATAAGTGCAGCTCCTTTTGATATGAACTGTGAAGCAAAAATGCAAGTTATCTGTACCTCCATGCCCAACAATATAATGTTAAGACAGACTAGAATAACCATATTAGACATTCATTTATAAAAGGGAGAAATGAAGGCACAAAGCAGTCACTAGTCAACAGAAATTCTGAATTACAGCCAGGCTCATCTTATCAGTGTCCCCTAATCTGAAGGCAAGGAATGTTTCTTGATTCAGGTTCAGTTTTGCTATATGGAAGTGATTACCTAATCCATTGCTTCTAATAGCTTATACTTCTGTTTGCAGGGCTCTGGGCTCCACCCTCTGAATCATATTTCCTTTGTTCATAGGAAATTTTCCATGCTTGCCATCATGTAGCTGTCCCAGTCTACCTTTTGCAAAGCAAGTTGAGGGCCCAGAGAAAAATGAAATTAAAAAAAAGACCTTTTGTCATATTTCACCTTCCATGTCCTTTTTTAGTTCAAGCTGATATAATACCTTAAGAAATTTAATGTGCTTCCTGTGTATCAAATTCTAAATCCAAAATCCAAAATAAATCTTCTTATAAGTGAAAAAGTCACACATACAAATCTCTTCAAGACAAGACCTTCTCTAATGCAGGCTTTGAGTCAGAGTGTTGTGGAATAATATTCTTAAAATTCTTACAAGCTGTTTTGTCTAGCTGAGAAGGTTGATGAGGCACTGAGTTAAATTAGGGATCTTGTAACTACACTGTTGATTTGATCTTTACACTAAGGCCACGTTTTATTGACAATTCCTGAATTCTATCTTTTTCCTGGGGCTCTTTCTCACTTTTAGAATATTTTTCTAACTCAAGAATGTGGGAATGAGAAAATATTTTATTTTCCTACTCAGCAAGTCCTCAGTTGGAAATATTTTCTCTACATTTGACTTGAAAATGGAATCATTCCTGCTTAGTCAATATCATTTTTGCAATACCTTTTAATATGTAATATAAGAGGCTGTATTAGTCTGTTTTCATGCTGCTATAAAGACACACTCAAGACTGGGAAATTTGTAACCAAAAAAAGAGGTTTAATGGACTTACAGTTCCATGTGGCTGGGGAGGCCTCACAATCATGGTGGAAGGTGAAAGGCACGACTCACATGGTGGCAGACAAGAGAAGAGAGCTTGTGCAGGGAAACTCCCATTTTTAAAACCATCAGATCTCATGAGACTTATTCACTATCACAAGAACAGCACAAGAAAGGCCCGCCCTCATAACTCAATTACCTCCCACCAGGTTCCTCCCACGACACATGGGAATTATGGGAGTTACAATTCAAGATGAGATTTTGGTAGGGACACAGCCAAACCATAACATTCCGCCCCTGGCCCCTCCCAAATCTCATGTCCTCACATTTCAAAACCAATCATGCCTTCCCAACAGTCCCCCAAAGTCTTAACTCATTTTAGCATTAACTCAAAAGTCCATAGTCCAAAGTTTCATCTAAGATAAAAGAAGTCCCTTCCACCTATGAGCCTGTAAAATCAAAAGCAAGTTAGTTACTTCCTAGATACAATGGGGGTATAGGCATTAGGTAAATACTGCCATTCCAAATGAGAGAAATTGGTCAAAACAAAGGGGCTATAGGCCCCATGCATGTCCAAAATCCAGTGGGTCAGTCAAATCTTAAAGCTCCAAAATGATCTTCTTTGACTCCAAATCTCACATCCAGGTCACACTGATGAAAGAAGTAGTTTCCCATGCTCTTGGGCAGCTCAGCCTCTGTGGCTTTGCAGGGTATAACCCCTCTCCTGGCTGCTGTCATGGCAGGCATGAGTGTCTGTGGCTTTTCCAGGTGCACGGTACAAGTGATCGATGGATCTATCATTCTGGGGTCTGGAGGATGGTGGCTTTCTTCTCACAGCCCAACTAGGTGTTGCCCCAGTAGGAACTCTGTGTGGGGGCTCCAACCACACATTTCCCTCCTGCACTGCCCTAGAAGAAGTTCCCCATGAGATCCCTGCCCCTGCAGCAAACTTCTGCCTGGACATCCAGGTGTTTCCATACATCCTCTGGAATCCAGGCGGAGGCTCCCAAACCCCAATTCTTGACTTCTTTGCACTGGCAGGCTCAACACCCCATGGAAGCTGCCAGGGCTTGAGGCTTGCACCCTCTGAAACCACAGCCTGAGCCACAGCCTAGGCTGGACACAGCACAGGTACCTTGGGACCTGCCCACGAAACCACTTATTCCTCCTAGGCCTCCAGGTCTGTGATGGGAGGGGCTGCCATGAAGACCTTTGACACATTGGAGACATTTTCCCCATTGTCTTGGGGATTAACATTTGGCTCCTAGTTAGTTATGCAAATTTCTGCAAGCCAGCTTGAATTTCTCCTCAGAAAATGGGGTTTTCTTGTCTATTGAATTGTCAGGCTACAAATTTTCTGAACTTTTATGTGCTGCTTCCCTTATAAAACTGAATACCTTCAACAGCACACAAGTCACCTTTTAAATGCTTTGCTGCTTAGAAATTTCTTCTGCCAGATACCCTAAATCATCTCTCTCAAGTTCAAAGTATCACAACTCTCTAGGACAGGGGCAAAATGCCACCAGTCTCTTTGCTAAAACATAACAAGAGTCACCTTTGCTCTCGTTCCTAACAAGTTCCTCATTTCCATCTGAGACCAATTCAGCCTGTCCATATTGCTATCAGCATTTTTGGCAAAGCCATTCAACAAGTCTCTAGGAACTTCCAAACTTTCTCACATTTTCCTGTCTTCTTCTGAGCCCTCCAAACTGTTCCAACCTCTGCCTGTTACCCAGTTCCAAAGTCACTTCCACATTTTTGGGTATCTTTTCAACAGCACCCCACTCTACTGGTACCAATTAGTCCATTTTCATGCTGCTGATAAAGACATACCCAAGACTGGGCAATTTGCAACAAAAGAAAGAAGTTCAATGGACTTACAGTTCCACGTGGCTGGGGTGGCCTCACAATCCTGGTAGAAGGTGAAAGGCACATCTCACATGGCAGCAGATAAGAGAGGAGAGCTTGTGCAAGAAAACTCCTGTTTTTAAAACCATCAGATCTCATGAGGCTTATTCACTATCACGAGAACAGCACAGGAAATATCTGTCCCATAATTCAATTACCTCCCACCAGGTTCCTCCCACAACACGTGGGAATTGTGGGAGTTACAATTCAAGATGAGGGGACATCTTGGGTGGGGACACAGACAAACCATATCAGAAGCCAGTTGCACATGCAAAATTTTGCCCGGAGACCAGGCGCAGTGGCTCACACCTGTAATCCCAGCACTTTGGGAGGCCGAGGCGGGCAGATCACGAGGTCAGGAGGTCAGGAGATCAAGACCATCCTGGCTAACACGGTGAAACCCTGTGTCTACTAAAAAGACAAAAAAATTAGCCAGGCGTGGTGGCAGGCACCTGTAGTCCCAGCTACTAGAGGGGCTGAGGCGGGAGAATGATGTGAACCCGGGAGGTGGAGGTTGCAGTGAGCCGAGATCGCGCCACTGCACTCCAGCCTGGGTGACAGAACGAGACTCTGTCTCAAAAAAAAAAAAAAAAAAATTGCCTGGAAACCTGCTTAGCCAGATCCACAAAATCCTTAGGTATATTTTCTATCTTTATATTTCTGCATTTAATAGTTTTTTCAAATGTTTCCTCACTGCTTAATATTGGGCATTCTTCTCCAGCCTCCAATAATAATTTGCTTACTGATCTTCTAACTTCCATAAATAGTCCCATTGTTCTTCCAGTTTTTACCTGTAGTTCAGGGGCTGGCTGGGCTTCTTTCTACATCCCTCCATAGTGTCTCATGCATCAGAGGTTTTTTCTCTCCATGTGGCCACTCTCTCAAGGACAATAAGTGAACTTCCTCACATAGCAGCTGTTTTTCCCTCTGATCAAAAGCAGAGGCTGTGTGAACATTGCAGGCCTGGACCCAAAAGTCCTAGAATGTCATGTCTGCTGTATTCTATTGGTCAAAACAAGTCCCAAGATCAGACCAGATATGGTTTACCCTCATCTCTTGATTAGAGAAGCCACAAGCAAATATGATATGCAAAAAACTCTTGGTCCTTACAGTGGGTTGAATAGTGGCCCCCAAATAAATGCTTATGTCCTAATTCCCAGAACCTGTGAATGTTACCTTACTTGGAAAAGGGGCCTTTGCAGATGTAACTAAGTTAAAGATCTTGAGATGAGGATATCAACCTGTCTTACCTAGGGGGACCCTCATCCAATGACAAGTGTTCCTATAAGGGACACACAAAGGAGAGCCACACAGGCAGAAGAAAAACCATGTGAAGATTGAGGCATATGCAGCCACAAGCCAAGGAATGCTGGCATCTGTCAGATGCTGAAAGAGACAAGGAACAGAATCTCTTAGAGCCTCTGAAGGAAGCACTGATATCTTGATTTTGGACTTCTGGCCTTGAACTGTGAGAGAATCAATTTGTGTTGTTTTAAGTCACCATGTTTGTGGTATTTGGTTATGGCGGTCACAGGAAACTAATATAGCAGGTATGTTTGAAATCACTCTAATACATTATGCTTATATTATTTTTAATGTTCAGATACTCAACATAAATAAGCTTTACAAAAATTTTGCTTCAGTCTACATAAATCGGATATATAGTATTTATTAATAATTTTTAAGAAAAATTTTATTTTTGAAAATAATTTTTGAATGGAATGATTTTATAGGATAATGAATATAAGAAAAATAATTTTCATTTTATAAATAGTTTTCAAAACTATAAATGTTGTCCCAGTGTAGATTTTAAATTGCATACTTACTATACAAATAACTGTCTAAAGCATTGCTTTCTGCAATGATGGAAATGTCCGATGTCTTCCCTGTCCCATGTTGTAGCCACTAGACACACGTGAATATTGAGAACTTGAAATGTGGTTTATGTGACTGAGAATTAAATTTCAAACTTGATTTCATTCAGTTAATTTAAATTTAGACAAATGTGACTAGTGGCTACCATATTGGACAAGTGTTGGTCCAACAAATCCTTTTACAAGTTATGTGGTATATACTTTTTTTCTTGTAACAGAATTTAAGAGAAACATAATTGTATTGCCCACTGGCGGACTGAATTAGTCACGGCAACCACCCGTGGCCACATGGCAAGAAACACATGGCATGCATTAGGTAAAAGGTCAAGATATGTGTAATAAATAAACTATTTACAAATGTGAGCAGGATGTAAAGAAACCAAAGATAGTGTAATATCCTGAGAATAGTAACAAGAAGGTTGTCAATATCTTTGGGCCTAAAGGGATACAAGGAAGCGTTTACTAGGACCCAGAAGGAGATAGCATAGATAGGGTTACCTTGAAAGGGGATGTAATTTTTCAGGGAAGGAGCTGGGAGAATAAATAGCCATCTCTTCTCTTCCTCTAATCTCCTGCCAAGAGGTACTCATTGGTAAAATCCAGCTGGACGCAAGAAGGCAAGCATGCTGATATAGTCCATACAGGTCAGCCTCCAGGCAAGAAGTAAGGTAGAAGAGGATGGTATAGATCTAGAATGGTAAATAGAAGATATCCAACACATAGAAAATTAAAATAAAATTATTATTTATTATAATGTGTTTTTGGCTGATCCAATACAGCTGATGTTTACAGAAATGAGTGACATCGTTATAATTAGACTTTTTCTATTTTGTTAACTTATTTATGTAAATGAGATTTCCACACTCTGAGCCCTGCCTCATTTTAGCAATAAGTGATTCATCCAAAGGTACATAAACTGAAAGGAAGGGAGTGCTCCATTCATTTCAGATGTTTCCAAAAAATATGATAAGAATGATC
>NT_167244.2:4647969-4672374 GCF_000001405.40 Homo sapiens | reverse complement strand
AGTGACCCGCCCACCTCGGCCTCCCAAAGTGCTGGGATTATAGGCATGAGCTACTGCGTCCGACTTGATAAAGACTTTCATGAACACTAACATAGTTTCTAACAGTTCAAGGCCACATCTCTAGGATGACCCTAATGCCCTTTAAAGTGTCTGACTGAGAGAACTCAAGGCTGCCAAAAGAATGTACTGTTTGTTCCAGCCCACAGATGAAGGTAAGGCCCCTGTTTCCCAGCTGCTGTGAGAGTGTAGGAGCCTAATGATAAGCCCCAGCTAACAAGGCCAGGTGGGCTTAACACAGACCAACCCCCTTCCCACTTTTTGTAATCTGTCACTTCTCTGACGTCATTGAGTCCCCACTCACCCTCTCTGTTCTTTCATTCTTGCTTTAAAATGCCCAGTTATCTCTACAAATCAAAGTTGAGTTCAGTTCAAGCTAGGCTCTTTTCCCTATTGCAATAATATGTCACTGATTAAAATCTGTTCTTACCACTTTATTTATTTATTTATTTATTTATTTATTTATTTATTATTTTGAGACGGAGACTTGCTATGTGGCCTAGGCTGGAGTGCAATGGCACAATCTTGGTTTACTGCAAAATCTGCCTCCCGAGTTCAGGCGATTCTCCTGCCTCAGCCTCCTGAGTAGCTGGGATTACAGGTGTGCACCACCATGCCCAGCTAATTTTTGTTTTTTAGTAGAGATGGGGTTTCACCATGTTGGTCAGGCTGGTCTCGAATTCCTTGCCTCAAGTGATCCGCCTGCCTCGGCCTCCCAAAGCGCTGGGATTACAGGCGTGAGCCTCTGTGCCTGTCCTGTCCTTACCACTTTAGCTAGTGTCTGGCTTTGTTTATCTATGAGATGATCCAGCAATTCTACTCCCAGGTATATACCCACGAAAAATGAAGATATATATCCACACAGAAACTTGTATACAAATGTTTATAGCAACATTATTTATAATAGCCAAAAGGTGAAAACAGCCCAAATGCCCACTAACTGATGAATGGATAAATAAATTGTGATCTGTACAGGCAATGGAGTATTATTCAGCCATAAAAAGGAATGCCAGCTACTAGGGAGGTTGAGATGGGAGGATCACTTGAGCCTGGGAGGTTGAGGTTGCAGTGAGCCATGACCATACCACTGCACTCCAGCCTGGGTGACAGAGTAAGACTCTGTCTCAAAGAAAAAAATAAATGAAAGGAACACAGGGAGTGATGGGCTGAGCGTGGTAATCCCAGCACTTTGGGAGGCTGAGGCAAGAGGATCCCTGGAGCCTAGGAGTTTGAGACCAGGCTAGGTAAGTAACATAGGGAGACCCCATGTCCACTAAAAATAAAAAAATAAAAAAATTAGTGTTCCGGCGGGGGCGGCCGAGGGGGAAGAGTGTGTGTCTGCGGGAGAAAGAGGAGAATCACCCAAGCGGCCTCAGAAGTCCCAGGGAGTGGAGGCCCCTGCCATGGAGCCGTGTGGTGTATGTGTGGTAACACCATGTCTGTGCCCCTGCTCAACGATGCTGCCACCGTGTCTGGAGCTGAGCGGGAAACGGCCGTGGTTATTTTTTTACATGGACTTGGAGAAACAGGGCACAGCTGGGCTGACGCCCTCTCCACCATTCGGCTCCCTCACGTCAAGTACATCTGTTCCCATGAGCCTAGGATCCCTGTGACCCTCAACATGAAGATGGTGATGCCCTCCTGGTTTGACCTGATGGGGCTGAGTCCAGATGCCCCAGAGGACGAGGCTGGCATCAAGAAGGCAGCAGAGAACATCAAGGCCTTGATTGAGCATGAAATGAAGAACGGGATCCCTGCCAATCAAATCATCCTGGGAGGCTTTTCACAGGGCCGGGCCCTGTCCCTCTACATGGCCCTCACCTGCCCCCACCCTCTGGCTGGCATCCTGGCTTTGAGCTGCTGGCCGCCTCTGCACCGGGCCTTCCCCCAGGCAGCTAATGGCAGTGCCAAGGACCTGGCCATCCTCCAGTGCCATGGGGAGCTGGACCCCATGGTGCCCGTACGGTTTGGGGCCCTGATGGCTGAGAAGCTCCAGTCTGTTGTCACACCTGCCAGGGTCCAGTTCCAGACATACCTGGGTGTCATGCACAGCTCCTGTCCTCAGGAGATGGCAGCTGTGAAGGAATTTCTTGAGAAGCTGCTGCCTCCTGTCTAACTAGTCGCTGGCCCCAGTGCAGTACCCCAGCTCATGGGGGACTCAGCAAGTAAGCATGGCACCATCTTGGGTCTGAGCTGGTCGAGCCCCTGTCCCCACCCTTCCTGACCTGTCCTTTTCCCACAGGCCTCTAGGGGCAGGTGGCAAGGCCTGGCTGGGCCTTCCTTCCTGGCCTCAGCCACCTGGCTCTGTCTGCAGTAGGGGCAGGCTGCTTTCTTATCCCATTTCCCTGGAGGCGGGCCCCCCTGGCAGCAGTATTGGAGGGGCTACAGGCAGCTGGAGAAAGAGGCCCAGCCACTGACCCACTCACTCAGGACCTCACTCACTAGCCCCACTTTGGGCCCCCTCCTGTAACCTTAGGGTTTGGCCCATGGGGCCCTCCCAGGCCCCTGCCCCAACTGATTCTGCCCAGATAATCTTGTGTCTCCTGCCTCCACTCAGCTGCTTCTCAGTCATGAACGTGGCCATGGCCCCGGGGGTCCCCTTGCTGCTGTGGGCTCCCTGTCCCTGGGCAGGAGTGCTGGTGAGGAGGTGGAGCCTTTTGAGGGGGGCCTTCCCTCAGCTGTTTCCCCACACTGGGGGGCTGGGCCCTGCCTCCCCGTTACCCTCCTTCCCTGCAGGCCTGGAGTCTGTAGGGCTGGACTGAGGTTCAGGTCTCCCCCCAGCTGTCTCACCCCCACTTTGTCCCCACTCTAGAGCAGGGAGGCAGTGGGGGAGGAGTTGTGTCTTGTCTTCTGTCTCCATGTGGTTTTTGGGTGTTTTTCTTCTTGTGTCCTGGATTCTGATAAAATTAAAGAAATTGCTTCCTCAAAAAAAAAAAAAAATTAGCCGGACATGGTGACTCGTGCCTGTGGTCCCAGCTACTCGGAAGGCAAGAGGTTGGAGTATCACTTGAGCCCAGGAGGCGGAGACTACAGTGAAACATGATCACACCACTACACTCCAGCCTGGGCAATGGTAAGACCCTGTCTCAAGGAAAGAAAAAAAAAAAGGAATGTGGTAGTGATACATTATATGCTACAACGGTGAGGAACCTCAAAAACATTATGCTAAGTGAAATAAGTCATTATTTATGGACTTTTATTTTTCATTGTCAAGTTAGCATTGTACACAAATACACACACATGCTCACACACACAGCTTGGTTTCATTTGCAAAACTTTTATTTAGGATTTTTCCAGGTATGTTTGTCAGTGAGATTAGCCTATAGCTTTCCTTTCTTTCACTGTCTTTGTCTAATATTGTTATAGAGGTTATATTAATTTTTTTTTTTGAGATAAGAGTCTCGCTCTGTCACCCAAGCTGGAGTGCAGTGGCACAATCTCAGCTCATTGCAACCTCCACCTCCAAGGTTCAAGCTATTCTTGTGTCTCAGCATCCCGAATAGCTGGGATTACAGGCATGTGCCACCATGGTCGCCTAATTTTTTAAAAAAATGTTTTTAAATTTTTAGTAGAGATGGGGTTTTGCCATGTTGGCCAGGCTGGTCTCGAACTCCTGGCCTCAAGAGATCCACCCGCCTTGGCTTCCCAAAATGCTGGGGTTACAGGCATGAGCCACTGCTACCAGACTAGGTTATATTAAGTCTTATAAAATAGTTTGAAAGTATACTCTCTTTTTGAAAGGCATTTTTTTTTCTTTGCTTGTTTGTTTTTAGTTTTCTTTTCTTTGTTTTTTTTTATGTTTTTGAGACGGAGTCTTGCTCTGTTGCCCAGGCTGGAGTGCAGTGGCACAATCTCGGCTCACTGCAACCTCTGCCTCCCAGGTCCAAGCGATTCTCCTGCCTCAGCCTCTTGAGTAGCTGGGATTACAGACGCCCACCACCACGCCCGGTTAATTTTTGTATTTTTAGTAGAGACAAGGTTTCTCCATGTTGGCTTCCCCAGGCTGGTCTCGAATTCCTGACCTCGTGATCTGCCCACATCGGCCTCCTAAAGTGCTGGGATTACAGACGTGAGCCACCACGCCTGGCCGCTTGTTTTGTTTTTAATGTTGGTTATAACTCTGTATCTAGGTAATTATCTCATGAAGCATTTTTCTGCTATTGGAAGCAATTTGTATAAAACAGTAAGCCTCTTCGCCCCCATTCTTTTACGGGGCTAATTTCTACTCATTCTCCAGTTCTCATCATAAACTTCACATTGTTAGAAAGGGCTTTGCTTTCTCTCCCACTAGATTAGGTGTCTCTGTTCCATGACTCTCAGCACATTTCATTGTGATGTCTCATTAAATGTTGGTATTCTCAGCTGGACCCTAAACTACATGGACAGGGACCTAACTTTTGTTCACCACTACCCCAGTGCTTAGCACATTGATGTCACAAAATTGGCCACCAATAAATACGTTTGGCGGAATGAGTGAAAGAAACACGGCAAACTGGAATGCCCTGGGAAGTCCTCCTGCTTCAGAACAAAGGAGAAGACCGGAAGAAAGAAGGGCTACAGCCCAGCTGTGGAAGCAGAGCCCTAGGCAAGGAGGTGTCAGTGCAGTCCTGGTCCCTCTGTGCAGGAGCCTCTCATAAAGAGGCTGAGCTGTGTCAGCACCAGGGGCCCCATCATCATAGGAGGTCAGTGAAGCTTGGGAGTTCTGGCAGATGCAGCAGAGGTGGCCCTGAACACTTGGAGATTCTGGGATGGTCACCTGGGAGCCAGCAGCCATGCAGGGTAATGGGGAAGACAGCAGCGATTTCTGGAGATTGGCTCCCCTCAAAGACAGAGAGAGGAGCTTGGGCAGGACTAGATTTTCCAGTTTTTTTGTTTTGTTTTGTTTTTGTTTTTGTTTTGTTTTTTTTTTTGAGACGGAGTCTCACTCTGTCGCCCAGGCTGGAGTGTAGTGGTGCGATCTTGGCTCACTGCAAGCTCCGCCTCCCGCGTTCATGCCATTCTCCTGCCTCAGCCTCCCGAGTAGCTGGGACTACAGGCGCCCACCACCACGCCTGGCTAATTTTTTGTATTTTTTAGTAGAGACGGGGTTTCAGCGTGTTAGCCAGGATGGTCTCGATTTCCTGACCTCGTGATCTACCCGCCTCGGCCTCCCAAAGTGCTGGGATTACAGGCGTCAGCCACCACACCCGGCCTAAGTCACACTTTCAAAATTCCTAAATCCACCCAAGGCACGGATAGCTCAGTGGCTTCTGCAGGGCCCTGGAGAAACTTCCCTCACCAGGTTCTGACCCTCTGGCTCATGTTGGGTCATCATCTTGTTTAGTCTGCATCTGCACCTTAGTACCAGGAAGTGCCTTAGGCTGAGGAACAAGAATTCACTACTCACTGGAAAAATCAATGTCCCAGGTATTCTAGCTTACCTATCAGTCTCGTGTGACTTTGGCTAGCGTCAGTCAGTTCCCTTGAATGTCAATAACCCTGAATATTCTGGCAAATAGAACTTTAAGTCAAGTTATCGCTGGATCCTAGTGACAATCATCAGTCCTTAATACTAGATGATGGTTTGTTTGTTTATTAGTAAATCCTGACTGAGCACCTCCTGGGGGGCAGACCATGGTTGGGTCTGTCCCTGGTATCAACTTAGACAAATATTTCCATGTGATCCAGATATCTTAATCTATAGAGTGGATCTGAGAGCTGATGGCTTAGACCAGCTATTTGCTAAATTTCCTTCCCAGTATCTCAAAGGAGAATAGAGTAATGAAGGGAGGAGGTACTTGAGAGGGCCTGATTCAAGCAAGCAGGTTTGACTAAATTGTTGGATGGAGTCACCTTCACTACAACATTCCTCTCTGAGTAAAGCTGGGGCAATCCCAAGACAAGCCTTACAACTGAGTAGGGGTCTCTGGGAGCTGACTCTTTCCTGAGTTGACCAGCTACCGGCCAGACCAAGGTCACATTGGCACTTTTTTACTGCCATGCACAGACCTTTCACTTTTTCACTATGAGGGCATTTTACCACTTTATCCTTTGAATAAACTACAAGTACATAAGACACTTCAGCCTCACGCAAGCTTGGAAGGTAGGATAACACAATGGTGGGTAAAAGCATGTGCTCTGGAGACAAAGTCTGAGATCAAACCCAACCTCCAGGGAGTCTCTCTGAACCCATTTTGGTTCAGAGGGCTGCCTGAAAAAACAACAAAACAAAAAACCCAAACTCCCGCCTTTATGTCTCTGGGTCTCATGGACAAATAGGGTTAATAAGAGTCCTGCAACAAGGCTGGGCGTGGTGGCTCAAGCCTGTAATCCCAGCACTTTGGGAGGTCGAGGTGGGCAGATCACCTGAGGTCAGGACTAGCCTGGCCAACATGGTGAAACCTGTCACCACTAAAAATACAAAATTAGCCTGGCATAGTGGCACATGCCTGTAGTCCCAGCTACTGGGGAGGCTAAGGTGGGAGAATCACTTGAACTCGGGAGGTGGAGGTTGCAGTGAGCCAAGATGGCACCATTGCACTCCAGCCTGGGCGACAAGAGTGAAACTCCATCTCAAAAATAAATAAATAAATAAAAATAAAAATAGAGTCCTGCAACAGTGAGGATGCATTCAGATGAAAGCAACAGAAAACTCAGCTAATAATGTCAGTTAATAAAGACATTTAATTGTTTCATATTTCAAAAATGTCCGGAGGTCAGCAGCCAGTAAGCCCCCTAACGATATTATCTAAGACCCAGGGTCTCTTCATCCTGCTCCATCATCCTTGGCGTGCTGGCTTTTGGGGCCCTCTGTGTGATACTCCACTGATATTCTTGGCACATGGGAAACATCATCTGCTCTTGGATTTCCCAGATCAATCTGAGGATATTACTTCTTGGGGGTAGGTAGGGCCCTGTGGTGGTTTGGACTGTTATTCCCAATTCTTTGCTTCCTCCTTATTATTTAAGTGTACATCCATCCCCTTTGCTGTGTGACTTGCTTGTGCCAACAGAATGTCAGAGGACACGATGCAAGCAGATGCTTTCAATGTGCTTTTGTAGTTTGGCTTGGCCTCTTGCACTCCTGTGATCTGACAAGAGAAAGGCAAATTCCAGATATCCATTGCCCCTTCAGCTGTGACCCAGAATAGACACTGGACCAGGACTAAAGGAGTCCTACCAAGCCCTGTCAAGCCCAGCCTGATTAGACAAACCACAGACAACTCACAAACCCATGAGCATGAAAATAAATAGAGTGGCTTAAGCAATCTCCTGGGGACAGGTATAGGAGGACAGCAAGGGTCCTTGGGTTCTCAGAGTGTCCTCCAGCTCCTCCGGTTTATGAGTCAGTATGTACTTGGTCACATTCATCCTGGGGGCCTTTGGCTAAAGTCAACATTTAGAGTTTCTCGTGGATCTCTTGGCTGGATCTGATCTCACTGGTGCTTTCTGGCTGACTCAACCTCCCTGTGGCTCTCGGTAGCCCAGTGGGACCCCTGAATCTCTACCATGTCTCCCATTCAGCTCCTAACCAAGTTATGCAAACCACATGCCTCTGCTGCCAGGTCACCCTCTTCCTACCCCCCATGCCCCATGGCAGGCCCATGGCTCTCAATTCAATACCCATCACTGGAAAAGGGCTGGTAACACAAAACAGACCCTGTCTCCCTGCCAGTGCATCCTGATTTGCCCACTTATCTACAATGGGCAAAATTTTGTAGCAGCTTCAGTGATCTCTTCTGTTTTCTGGATGTTTCTGAAGCCATTCCCCCAATTCCAAGGCATCTCCTTGACTCTCACCTCCCTGCCTTCGTCTTGTTGAAACTCCAAGATGAGAAGTGGTAGGCTTCTCTTTTATTCTTTTCATATCTTATCTTTGGCTTCCTAGCTCTAATTGCCACTTCAAAAGACAAGGGTTCCCTTTGGAAACAATCTGTTGAGGTAGCTGTTATTATCCTCATTATGGACATATAGGAAATCAAAGATGAGAGATTAAATTACCTCCTCCTTTGGTAGAAACTTGATTCTAGATCTGGCTCTTGATTATGTTAAATGGGAGCTAAATGAATGCAGAAAACAATTTCTTTCTCATAGTCCAGTTTTCAAGTCCATTGTCTTGCTGCAAAATCCTATTTTGAATTTCAATAGATGCATATTACCATTTCCTTCTCTTTATATTTCTTCTGAAACAATCTTAATCTCCTCACAAGCAGTTTGATGCCACAACCAAATAAGAAAGAGGTCATTTACTTGCTGAAGGCAAAAGAGTATAAAAGGAAAAAACACATTAATAGTTTCTTCATACATTATCCATTCTAGCTCCCTGCTTCCACCTGACTTCCCTATTGCAAAGTCTGGAGAATCTTTATCTAGTCCTTTGAATGTGTGTATGCACACATGAGAATTCATGGCTGCATGCAAGAGTGTGTGTGCATGCATGTATTGATGAGAGTGTTGAGAAAAGGAACTCTTCATTTTCTCTTTTTTTCTTTTCTTTTCTTTTTTTTTTTTGAGACAGAGTCTTGCTCTGTCGCCCAGGCTGGAGTGCAGTGAGCTCATTGCAACCTCTGCCTCCCGGGTTCAAGGGATTCTCATGCCTCAGTCTCCCAAGTAGCTGGGATTCCAGGCACGTGCCACAACACCCGGCTAATTTTTGTATTTTTAGTAGAGACGGGGTTTCACCATGTTGGCCAGGATGGTCTCAAACTCCTGACTGCAAGTGATCCACCCGCGTCAGCCTCCCAAAGTGCTGGGATTACAGGCGTGAGCCACTGCGCCCGGTCCATTTTTTCTTTTTTTTTTTTTTAATGCCATAAGTCTTTGAAACTCTAAAGCCAAAAATTTGACCCATTTATTTATAATTGGTATTATACTGTCATTCCTTTCTTTAGGTAATAAAGCCAGAACCATTGGTTTTTTTCATTAAGATAGGGAACCAGGTTACAAGGATTACCAAAAATAAAAGATAATAGGCTGCTGTTTTTAAAACCTTACATCTCCAGGATCTAAGTCAGTGGCAATAGGGAGGGAAGAGAGGCATTTGGTGACCCAAACCAACTGCTGCTGAGCTGTCCAGTTCTCTGGCTCTCCTTTGACTTCTTGGAACCATCACTTTGACAACAATAAACTCCCAATGCAGGAAAACAAAGCCAGGATTTTTTCTGAGTCTCAGCCACATGCTAAGCGATATGTGATGTACTTTTGTGTACATTATCTCATTTCTTCTTAAAGCAATCCTTCATAGTAGGTATTATCATTTTCACTTTTCACTTTTTTTTTTTTTTTTTGAGGCAGGGTCTCATTCTGTCACCCAGGCTAGAGCGCAGTGGAGCAATCACTACAGCCTCAAATTCCTGGGCTCAAGTGATCCTCCCACCTCAGCCTCCTGAGTAGCTGGAACTGCAGGCGTGTGCTACCATGCCCAGATAATTTTTAAATTTTTTTGCAGAGATTGGGATCTCATTATGTTGCCCAGGCTGGTCTCAAACTCCTGGCCTCAAGCAATTCTCTTGCCTCCGCTTCCCCAAGCGTTGGGATTACAGGCATGAGCCACTGCACTTGGCCTCATTCTCATTTTTTAATGATGAGACAGGGTGCACAGGCTGAAAGAGGTAGAATAACTTCCCCAAAGCCCAACAGCTAAAACATGAAAGAGCCGGGATTCGGCCGCCCCGTCTGGGAAGTGGGCGCCTCTGCCCGGCCACCCCGTCTGGGAGGTGAGGAGCGCCTCTGCCAGGCTGCCCTGTCTGGGAAGTGTACGCAACAGCTCTGAAGAGACAGCGACCATCGAGAACGGGCCATGATGACGATGGCGGTTTTGTCGAAAAGAAAAGGGGGAAATGTGGGGAAAAGAAAGAGAGATCAGATTGTTACTGTGTCTGCATAGAAAGAAGTAGACATAGGAGACACCATTTTGTTCTATACTAAGAAAAATTCTTCTGCCTTGGGATGCTGTTAATCTATAACCTTACCCTCAACCCTGTGCTCTCTGAAACATGTGCTGTGTCAACTCAGGGTTAAATGGATTAAGGGCGGTGCAAGATGTGCTTTGTTAAACAGATGCTTGAAGGCAGCATGCTTAAGAGTCATCACCACTCCCTAATCTCAAATACCCAGGGACACAAACACTGCCGAGGGCCGCAGGGACTTCTGCCTAGGAAAACCAGAGACCTTTGTTCACGTGTTTATCTGCTGACCTTCTCTCCACTACTATCCTATGACCCTGCCACATCCCCCTCTCTGAGAAACACCCAAGAATGATCAATAAATACTAAAAAAAAAAAAAAAAAAAAAAAAAAAAAAAGAGCAAGAGCCGGGATTCAAACCCTGCTCCTTGGTACTGCTAACCTCACCGTCGTTTCTCTACATTGGGTGCCTCTTGAGCGATTGTGCTAACACTACATGGAGAGGACTCTATAAAGATGACTACTTTCTTCCTTGTGGGAGTTTTTATTTTATTTTAATTTTTTGAGACAAGGTCTCGCTCCGTTGCCCAGGCTGGGTTGTAGTGGCACGATCTTGGCTCACTGCAGCCTCAACCGCCCTGGACTCCCATCTTGACCTCCAGAGTAGCTGGAACTACAGGCGCATGCCACCACTCCCAGCATTCTCCTGCCTCAGCCTCCCGAGTAGCTGGGACTACAGGCGCCCGCCACCACAGCGGGCTAATTTAGAGACGGGGTTTCACCGTGTTAGCCAGGATGGTCTCGATCTCCTGACCTCGTGATCCGCCCACCTCGGCTTCCCAAAGTGCTGGGATTACAGGCATGAGCCACCGCGCCCGGCCTGAAGTTTCTTAGCCACAGTGCTTTTAAACATTTTATAAAAAAGCAAAACAAATATTCCTTACTGCTGCGTCTATCTTCTGAAGATGACAGCAGCTGGCAGAGCTTGTCCACCTCAGCCTAGCTAGCATTTAAATATGGCTATAGGAGAGCGTCCCTTATTAGCGGGCTCCTCCCCCAGGGCTCTGTACTCTAGGCTGCTCCACACTCCTTTGCCCACCTTAGGCTAGTAAGGTCGGGGTGTACATGGACTGTTTCTTAGCCCTTTCCCTAGGGGGCCAGGGGAGACAAGGAATTGCTTGTCAACTGAGACATGTGAGGGGTGGCAGGGAAGGGCAGAAGTAGGAAAAGCAGCAGCACAGCAAGCAGCAGGCCACTTCCTGGGCACAGTTACTAAGGCAGGTGACCATGGTGAGGAGGATCCTCAGGACTGGGCTGGAGCTGCCTGCAGCCACCTGGGGACTCAGTCTGCGCCTTTTGGCCTCCCCTCCGTCACCACAAACCCAGAAAGGGGCAACCTGCCCAGACTGCCAGTGGCCAAATGGGCACTCCATGGCATCTTAGCATCTCTCCTGCTCCAGGCCTCTGTGGGCAGCAAGAAAGCTAGAGCTACCTGGGATAAAACCGAGGAGGCAGCATGCAACTTCCTCTTATATTCCAGGGTATTAGATATGAGTTCTAAATTTCTTTTCAAATAATTGTCATTATGTTCAATTCTTTACCTTCTACTTTTAAACTTAACTTCCTCGTAAAGCAATCTTTTTTGATTACCTACTCCACCCTGACTCATTCTGATCTCCTGCTCCACCCTAACTCATTTTGATCACCTGCCACCTGCTCTGCCCTGACTCCCGCCAAAGCACTCATCCCGTCATTCTCTTTAAATTAGCCAGTCAGAATTAGTTTAGCCTGTGCTGTCTAACCCTAGCCAATAGGGGAACGAAACAGCAGCAGGGGCCACGTGCATTAGGGATAAGAACCCCTTCCCCTCCCTTGTCCAAGTGTGCGCTCACCATTGTTCCATCTGTAAGGGTGCACCCTTCTATATAGAAGTACCTAGCCTTGCTGAGAATTAAAAGGAAAATTTTATATTTGAGTGATATTCCTTTTGCGGCACCGAAACTTTATATATAACAATTTGGGGGCTTGTCTGGGATTACATTCCCCTCTGGGGGTGGTCTCTGGTTCTCTCTCTTGAGGAGGTGAACCCCGCCCTATTGTGGCGGCCTCAGGGGTGAAAAATCAAGACCTACCCAGTGCAAGGAATAACCCAAGCTCTCAGCAATGCAGGAAAAAAAAAAAAGGCCATCAACCTTTTGGGGTGATCAGACCCAACACCAGGCCGTGGGGGCTACGAAGTCCAGCAGAGTCAAAGGAATGAGAAAACACAAGTTCAGAGAGAAAGTGGGACCAGGGGGCCAACACTAGTATGGAGGTTGCAAAGGCCCGGAGCTCTGGAAGCCCACACTATTTATTGGTGATCAAACAAACAGGGGGTGAGGATGTGGGGGTTGAAAGGAAGCGATGTATCAAGCTAATGAACTACAGATGTGATGGTTTAGCATTTTCTTTGAAATGTATGGCTACTTGAGATAATGGGAGTGCTAGAAGCAAGAAGCCAGCAAGTCTGGACACATTCCAAAGGCCACCAGGGGTGTTACCCTGAATGTAAAACTATTGAAGAAACAATTTATGTGCAAGATGTATAAGGAAAGTAAAATATACTTTTAGTAAAAGGATTATAAGGAGGCATAAGAATGTGGATTTTTACCTACATTAAAAGGTTAAAAAAAAATTTTGTGGCCAGGCATGGTGGCTCACACCTGTAATCCTACCTAGCACTTTGGGAGGCCGAGGTGGGTGGATCACCTGAGATCAGGAGTTTGAGACCAGCCTGGCCAACCTGGTGAAACCCCGTCTCAACTAAAAATACGAAAATTAGCTGGGCATTGTGGTGGGCACCTGTAATCCCAGCTACTCACTCAGGAGGCTGAGGCAGGAGAATCACTTGAACGTGGGAGGCGGAGGTTGCAGTGAGCCAAGATCGCACCATTGCACTCCAGCCTGGGTGACAGAGTGGGACTCCATCTCAAAAAAGAAAAAAAAATTTGTTTTGAAGGTTTAAGCAAGTTTTAAAATGTTAATTGTAATGGAAATTATGTGTGTAAACATATTGGCTAAGGTTAAAAGGGTATCACCCAGTTTTTCTGTGAACTGAGCATTAAAATAAAAACACAACGGGTTTTTCTTAAAGCACTAACCCGCTCTTTAACAAAAATTATAAAAAGTTAAAAACAGGCCAGGCTCAGTGGCTCATGCCTGTAATCCCAGCACTTTGGGAGGCCGAGGCAGGCAGATCACCTGAGGTCGGGAGTTCGAGACCAGCCTGACCAACATGGAGAAACCCCCATCTCTGCTAAAAATCCAAAATTAGCTGGGTGTGGTGGTGCATGCCTGTAATCCCAGCTACTTGGGAGGCTGAGACAGGAGAATTCCTTGAACCCGGGAGGCAGAGATTGCAGTGAGCCAAGATTGCACCATTGCACTCCAGCCTGGGCAACAAGAGTGAAACTCCTTCTCAAAAAGAAAAAAAAAAAACAGTCTATAAAAATCTTACCTTATGGGCCGGGCACGGTGGCTCACGCCTATAATCCCAGCACTATGGGAGGCCGAGGTGGGTGGATCATGAGGTCAGGAGATAGAGACCACCCTGGCTAACAAGTAAAACCCTGTCTCTACTAAAAATACAAAAAATTAGCCAGGCGTGGTGATGGGCGCCTGTAGTCCCAGCTACTTGGGAGGCTGAGGCAGGAGAATGGCGTGAACCCGAGAGGTGGAGCTTGCAGTGAGCCGAGATCGTGCCACTGCATTTCAGCCTGGGCGACAGAGCAAGACTCCATCTCAAAAAAAAAACAAAAAAACAAAAAACAAAAACTTACCTTATGATCAGACATTAAAAATTGGATAAATATGTCTACAAAGTGTTATTAAAACTAAGTTTAACATTAATAGGCCGGGCGCGGTGGCTCACGCTTGTAATCCCAGCACTTTGGGAGGCCAAGGCGGGCAGATTGCCTGAGCTCAGGAGTTCGCGACCAGCCTGGGCAACAAGGTGAAACCCCGTCTCTACTAAAATACAAAAAAATTAGCCGGGCGTGGCAGCGTGTGCCTGTAGTCCCAGCTACTTGGGAGGCTGAGGCAGGAGAACTGCTTGAACCCGGGAGGCAGAGGTTGCAGTGAGCCAAGATCGCGCCACTGCACTCCAGCCTGGGCAACAGAGTGAGACTCCGTTTCAAAAAAAAAAATTAATAACACACTAATATAAAGGTGAAATTTAGCTTATCTGGTATAAAAATCATACAGGAAGCACTGTCAAATATAAAATGGTGTTTGGCGTTCTTTGGTCTAAAAAAACTAATAAAAATAAGTGCTAAAGGAAATTTCTCAGTAAGAAGGCACCAAGGACTATAAAGTCCACTGCTGATGTCCCCACATTTAAAACAAAAGGTCGATTTCTTAGAAATTATATGCTTGGTTTATCTTCCACTTTCCTCTCCCTCAAAACTAAAAATATTTTAGCACAGGTACCACCCCTAAAATTTCTGGTAAACCAGCACCAGCCTGAAGATCATGTTGTCATCAGAGGGTGGAAAGAAGGAAAACTCGAGCCAGCCTGGGAAGGACCCTACCTTGTGCTGCCAACCACCGAGACTGCAGTTTGTACAGCGAAAAAGGGATGGATTCATCACACCCGAGTCAAGAAAGCACCACCCCCTCCAGAGTTGTGGGCCATAGTCCCAGGGGGAAACCCTACCAAATTAAAGCTAAGAAAAATTTAACTCTTTCATCTATTCTATTACTCTTTCTCCTTTCCTCGCTCTATTGCTGACCATCTAGTTATTAACATAACCAAGTCAATTTTGCCTCAAACTATTGCATTTAGTGCTTGCCTTGTTATATCCCGTAGGAACTTGCCAAGTCAAAGACAGCTCTCTACTTCTGAAAAGTACCTCTGTCCCTCCTGACTCTCCTCACACTGGGCATTAGTAAATTAGGACCACTGAATCTGGGGGGATTTCGATAAAGATCCCAATGTCAACCAGGATTCTTGACCCCCAATGTAGAGCTTTTATGCCGTAGTCGGTCCAACGTTCTGTGGATCACTAAAGAGCAAGTATGGACTGCCCCAATCAGTTTTTGTAATTTCCTAAAACCATATATTCATTTTACTAGAGGATCATAGAAGTTAAAGACTTAAAAAACATTTTGGCAATTAACACAGGATACCAAGATGCAAATGCCTGGTTGGAATGGATCAAATATTCCGTCCACATTAAACAAAAGCAATTGTTATGCTTGTGCACATGGCAGGCCAGAGGCCCAGATTGTCCCCTTTCCACTAAGGTGGTCCTCCAGTCGACCAGGTGTGGGCTGCATGGTAGCTCTTTTCCAGGATTCTACAGCCTGGAGTAATAACTCACGCCAAGCTCTCTCTCTGCTATATCCTGAAGTCCGGCACCCTGCGCGTCAGCCCCCGAGGGCCATCCAGCTTCTGTCTCCCAACACTAAGTTCACTTCGTGTCTCTCCCAACAGGGAGGAAACTTAGCATTCCTTGGAGACCTGAAGGATGCAGTGAGCTTAAGAATTTTCAAGAGCTTATCAATCAGTCAGCCCTTGTTCATCCCCGAGTGGATGTGTGGTGGTATTGTGGTGGATCTTTACTGGACACTGCCAAATAACTGGAATGGCACTTGTGCTTTATTCCAATTGGCTATCCCTTTCACCCTGTTATTTCATCAACGAGAGGAAGGAAAAATAAGTATCATAAAGCAAGAGAAGCCCTTTATGGGTCTTTCGACTCTCACGTCTATTTAGACACAATTAAGAGTCCCATGGGGAATACCAGATCAATTTAAAGCCCAAAATCAAATTGCTGCAGGATTTAAGTCAACATTTTGGTGGGTAACAATTAATAAAAGTGTAGATTGGGTAAACTACGTCTATTACAACCAATAGCGATTTATTAACTACACTAGAGATGCTGTTAGAGGAATAGCTGAACAATTAGGGGCTACTAGCCAGAAGGCTTAGGAAAATAGTGTCACCGGCGTCTGTGTGAAGAGACCACCAAACAGGCTTTGTGTGAGCAATAAAGCTGTTTATTTCACCTGGGTGCAGGCGGGCTGAGTCCGAAAAGAGAGTCAGCAAAGGGTGGTGGGATTATCATTAGTTCTTATAGGTTTGGGATAGGCATACAAACTACATTCTTAAGGGCAGGGGAGAATATTACAAAGTACCTTCGTAAGGGTGGGGGAGAATATATTTATCAGTTAGGGTGGGACAGGAACAAATCACAATGGTGGAATGTCATCAGTTGAGGCTATTTTCACTTCTTTTGTGGATCTTTAATTGCTTCAGGCCATCTGGATGTATACCTGCAGGTCACAGGGGATATGATGGCTTAACTTGGGCTCAGAGGCCTGACATTCCTATCTCCTTATATTAATAAACAAAATAGTGGTGAAGTGTTGGGGCTGCGAAAATTTTTGGAAGTGGTATGGAGAGATAATGGGTGATGTTTCTCAGGGCTTCTTCGAGCGGGATTAGGGGCGGTGTGGGAGCCTAGAGTGGGAGATATTAAGCTGAAGGAAGATTTTGTGGTAAGGGGTGATATTGTGGGGTTGTTAGAAGGAGCATTTGTCGCCCGGTGTGGTGGCTGACGCCTATAATCCCAGCACTTTGGGAGGCTGAGGCGGGCGGATCACCTAAGGTCAGGAGTTCAAGACCAGCCTAGCTGACATGGTGAAACCCCATCTCTCCAAAAAAAAAAAAAAAAAAAAATTAGCCGGACATGATGGCGGGTGCCTGTAATCCTAGCTACTCAGGAGGCTGAGGTGGGAGAATTGCTTGAACCCCAGGAGGTGGAGGTTGCAATGAGCTGAGATCGCGCCACTGCACTCCAGCCTGGGTGACAGAGTGAGACTCTGTCTCAAAAAAAAAAAAAAAAAAGAAAAGACAGCTGGAAAAGAATGGTTATCATCTTTAGGAAAAAAAAAATGGCTGGGCACGGTGTCTCACGCCTGTAATCCCAGAAGGAGCATTTGTCGTATACAATGATTGGCGATGGCCTGGATACAGTTTTGGATGAATTGAGAGACTAAACGGAAGATACAAGGTCCGAATAAGGGAAGGAGAAAAACAGGTATTAAAGGACTAAGAATTGGGAGCACCCAGGACATCCAATTAGAGAGTGCCCAAGGGGGTTCAGAGTAATTACTTGCTTGGTTGGCGAGTTTTTGGCCTCTATCCTTGAGTTCTTTTATGTTGTCATACACCAGGCCAGATTGATTTAGGTAAAAACAACACTCTTCATTAAAAAATATACAGAGTCCTCCTTTTTCAGCAGTGAGTAAGTCAAGGCCTCGGTGGTTTTGGAGGACAACTGCAGCTAAAGAGTCAACTTGGGCCTGAAGGACTGATAAAGTTTGTGATATGTGTGTGATGCTAGCAGAGAAGTCATTAGAGAGGCTATGGAAGGTCGTGACAGAGGTTGAAATGCCTACTATTCCAGTACCGAGAGCAATAGTGGAGGCAGAAAGTCCTAAACCGACAAGCAAGGGAATTAGCGGAATAACTCTTTTTTGTTGTGTCGGTGTCATGAGGGGAACAGGAAGATGTTCAGTCCCATTTGCAAATTGATTTTGGGAGTAAGGAAAACTAGTGTGCATGTGCCTGTCCAATTAGCAGGTAGACACATGTAGGTAGAGGATCCACAGAGGAAGAAGAGACCTTGTGCGGAGCAAAACCGGAAATGCAAAGTAAAAAGATGAGAAGGAGTGCTGAAAGAGGTGTCTTGTACCCAGACTCCTAGGGATCCAGCTAGGGCGGCAGCCGTCAGAGGTTGTAATGGGGACTGATGGGGTAACTACGTAGAGGGGGAGGTTTGATTTTCATGGTGTATGAGAAAACTTTGAGTGTCTACGAGCAACCTTTCACTGTTATTTACGGGGCTGAGTATAAGCAAACAAGAAGAGGGCCTGGGAGGAGAGTCTGACAAGCAAGGGGAAGGTAGCCAAGGATGGAGTGAAATACAGGGTAAGTGTCTTCCTAAGCAATAATAACTGCTAATGTGTTTAAGTTTGCCAGTATTGATAGAGGGCTTATCTGTAATACAGAGCTGGGAGGCTCCAATTGTTTCAGTGATGTGTGTAGTTGGGCTTCGGAGATGAAGAGTAAAGGAACATCGAGAAGGTGAAAGATTACCTAGGGGAATTCCAGTGGGTCTTTGCCGAGAGATACATAAAGGAACGGCCACAGGAATAGTAGTTTGTGTTGTGAGGGGTCCAAATATGGGGGGAGTAGAGTTGATATAAGGAGAAAGGTTTTTTAAGTAAGTGTGGAGGAGGGCGGCAGCTTGCTGAAGTGAAATGTCTGGGGAAGTCTTGCTGGACCTGTCTAGAAAGTAAAGAAGTTCTTTAGGAAGGTAAAGGTGAGGGCTGTTAAAGGAAGTTTGGAGGTGTAGGGAGATAGGAGAGGTTGCCCAGTCTGTATGTAAGGCGGGGACAGCTGTGTAGGCGCAGGAAGAAAGGGAAATGCAAATTCAGCAATGGTTCGATGAGGGATTAGAAACGGCTAGGAGAGAGTGAATGAGATTGATAGTGTGGTGGAGCTAGCTGGGGAGAGGTAGAGGGTGGCATAAAAATGGGAACAAGAATAGGAGTGAGTATAAAAGTAAAGAATAGGACTTCATCAGGGTGAAAGTATTGGAGTGTGCCCTGCCAGCAAATATTATTTATTTACTTTAAGAGGGAGTTAAGAGTGGCGGTCTGGGGATAGCACCAGGAGATACCAGCTGTGACGGCTTGGAGAAACAGTGTAAACCGGCAGTGTAAACAAGAGCAGGGCATTTATGAGTAGTTGAGAATGGTGAATAGGAGTATGACTAGACAGAAGATAGAAGGGATGACAAGTTTTTGGGGTGCAGTCCGAGTTGGGCTGGTGTCTGGAATAAGACTGGGGCCTAATAAAAAGGAGCATCCATACAGGAGCTCAAATGGGCTGTATCCTGCAGCATTCCGAGGACAGGCCCGAATTCTGAGAAGGGCAAGTGGTAAAAGTACTGTCCAGTCTTTTTAAGTTGGAGGCTGAGCTTGGTGAGGTGTGTCTTTAAAAGACTATTAGTCTGTTTTACTTTTTCTGAAGATTGAGGATGGTAAGGGGTATGAAGGTTCCACTGAATACCAAGAGCCTGAGAAACTGCTTGGGTGATTTGACTAATAAAGGCCAGTCTGTTATTGGACTGTATAGAGGTGGGAAGGCCAAAGCGAGGAATTATGTCTGACAGAAGGGAAGAAATGACCGCAGTGGCCTTCTCAGACCCTGTTGGAAAGGCCTCTACCCATCCAGTGAAAGTGTCTACCCAGACCAAGAGGTATTTTAGTTTCCTGACTTGGGGCATGTGAGTAAAGTCAATTTGCCAGTCCTGGGCAGGGGCAAATCCCTGAGCTTGATGTGTAGGGAGGGGAGGGAGCCTGAACACTCCCTGAGGAGTAGTAGAATAGCAGATGGAACACTAAGAAGTGATTTCCTTGAGGATAGATTTCCACGATGGAAAGGAAATGAGAGGTTCTAAGAGGTGGGCTAGCAGCTTGTAACTTACATGGAAGAGGTTATGAAATGACAGCAGAATAGAATGGGCCTGTGAGGCTGTTAGGAGATATTTTCCTTGGTCCAAGAACCATTTGCCTTGTGTGGGAAGAGACTGATAGGTAGAAGTTTCAGCAGGAGAGTAGGTGGGAGTGACCCATGAGAATGAGAAAAATTGGCCGTGAGGGACAGAATTTGGAATGCTAGCTGCTTCTTTAGCTACCTTATCAGCAAAAGCATTGCCCTGAGCGATGGGATCTGACGCCTTTTGATGGCCCTTGGAGTAAATGACTCCAGCTTCCTTTGGAAGTAAAGCGGCCTTGAGAAGAGTTTTTATTAAAGAGGCATTAATGACAGAGGACCCTTGCGTAGTGAGGAAACCTCTTTTTGCCCATATAACAATATGGTGGTGCAGGATATGGAAGGCATATTTAGAGTTGTATAAATATTGACATGTAGTCCCTTTGCAAAAGTGAGGGCTCGAGTTAAGGCAATGAGTTCAGCTTGCCGAGAGGTAGTGGAGAGGGGCAGAGCAGTAGCCTCAATGATAGATGTGGAAGATACTATAGCATAGCCTGCCTTTGCTGGTGTGTGGCAATTAGGCCTGGTAGAACTACCATCAATAAACCAAGTGTGATCAGGGTGAGGAACAGGAAAGAAGGAAATACGGGGAAATGGGGTGAATGTCAGGTGGATCAGAGAGATACAGTCATGGGGGTCAGGTGTGGTATCAGGAATAATGTGGGAGGCTGGATTGAAGTCCTGGCCAGGAACAATGGTAACTGTGGGAGACTCAACAAAGAATGAGTACAGCTGAAGGAGCCGGGGAGCAGAAAGTATACGTGTTAGATGTGAGGAAGAAAATAGATTTATGAGAACTGTAGAGAGTGAGTTGAGCATAGTTTGTGATTTTGAGGGCCTGTAAAAGTATTAGGGCAGTGGCAGGCACTGCACGGAGACATGATGGCCAGCCTAAAACAGTAAGTCAAGTTGTTTGGACAAAAAGGCTACAGGGTGCGGTCCTGGTCCTTGTGTAAGAATTCTGACTGTACAGCCCTGCACTTCGGCTGTGTGTAATGAAAAGGGTCGGGATGAGTCATGGAGAGCTAGTGTGGGAGCTGTGTTTTAAGGAATGGAAAGGGGAGAGGAGAAAGGATTTAGGATCTATGGGGTCAGCTAGGTTTATCTAGAACAGAATAATGGGTTGTGGAGGGAGGTATTGAGGATAGGAGAGTATATGGGTTTGGCACCACAGGGTGGATAGGCAAAACAATTTGGTCGATATGGCGCAGATCCTGAACTAACCTGTAAGGCTTATCTGGTTTTTGGACAGGTAAAATGGGGGAATTGTAAGGAGAGTTTATAGGCTTTAAAAGGCCATGCTGTAACAGGTGAGTGATAACAGGATTTAATCCTTTTAAAGCATGCTGTGGGATGGGATACTGGCATTGAGCGGGGTAAGGGTGATTAGGTTTTAATGGGATAGTAATGGGCGTGGATAGTTCACCAGGGAGGGAGTAGAGGTGTCCCATACCTGTGGATTAAGGTGAGGAGATAAAAGAGAAGGACGTGAAGGAGGCTTTGAACTGGGGAAAAGGGCAGCAACGAAATGTGGCTGTAGCCTAGGATTAGTCAGGGAAGCAGATAATTTAGTTAAAATGTCTCGACCTAATAAGGGAGCTGGGCAGGTGGGGATAACTAAAAAGGAGTGCATAAAAGAATATTGTCCAAGTTGGCACCAGAGTTGGGGAGTTTTAAGAGGTTTAGAAGCCTGGCCATGAATACCCACAACAGTTATGGAGGCAAAGGAAATAGGCCTTTGAAAAGAAGGTAATGTGGAGTTGGTAGCCTCCATATTGATTAAGAAGGGTGACTTACCCTCCACTGTAAGAGTTACCCAAAGTGTCCGTGATGGCCCGGGAGGCTTCGAAGGTGATCGGACAGCATCAGTCTTCAGCCGCTAAGCTGAGAAGATCTGGGAAGGAGTCAGTCAGAGAGTCTTGGGCCAGAGATCCCAGAGCTCTGGGAGTGACTGCGAGGCGAGTGGGACAGTCTGATTTTCAGTGGGGTCCTGCACAGATGGGACACGGCTTAGGAGGAATCCCGGGCTGTGGGCATTTCTTGGCCCAGTGGCCAGATTTCTGGCACTTGAAGCAAGATCCTGATGAAGAAGGTCCTGTAGGAATGCTTGACCACTGCGGTTTAGGCATGTGCGGCTTAGGCATTTTGAAGTTCTCGTGTGCTGGAGGTGCAGCTGGGTTTTGTCTCACAGCAGAGGCAAGTAATTGTAACTTTTCTCTATTATTGTACACCTTGAAGGCAAGGTTAATTAAGTCCTGTTGTGGGGTGACGTGCACCTGTAATCCCAGCTATTCAGGAGGCTGAGGCAGGAGAATAGCTTGAACCAGGGAGGTGGAGGTTGCAGTGAGCCGGGATCACGCTACTGCACTCCAGCCTGGGCGACAGAGTGAGACTCCATCTCAAAAAAAAAAAAAATTATTCTTTGTTCATTTCCTGACCCATGATAACCGAACCCCTGGTATTTTTCGCGTGGGTCCTGTCCACCTGATGGTAGTCAGGACTGTCCCTTACCGGGATTTTCTGAAAATTGATGAGCTCTCCTCCTTTCACGCATAACTTCAAGGCGATCACGTCGGGTGCACCACTTGCAGAGTTTATAGCTTGCAGTGAACGCCAAGAATGAGTTCTTAGACAATTCCAGCTGAGTGGGGCCGGGGGAATGGGGGGGGCATTTCTTCTAAGAGAACCCGCCCCAGCATCCGTCTGCCAAGTATTTATTGAAAGTGCTTGTTAAACCACAAACATCCACTAGATGGCTTTTTGAGGTCGGGTCGTGAGACACCTGCGGCCTCGTAAAAGCACTCAAACCGCATTCTCAGGAGGCTGTTTTCAGCGTTCCTTATCACACCACACACTCCACTCCCTGTCCTGTTTTCAGGGTCAAGGAATTTCATTCTCACGCACAAATAACATACACACAGTGCCTCAGTATTCTTCCATGCCCCGACCTCAGATGCCATGTACATAAGCTTGAATATGTTGCTGTGCACCCCCCACACTCAAGTGTCCCCACCCCTTTAAATATGTTGTGTGGGGCTAGTTCTTCCATTGCCCATGAAAGATAACTCAGGCAGGCCACAGAGCATACCTGCTCAATCCTTGGAACAAAAAAAAAAAATCCTCCAAGCATCATTCTGAATTACGTTTTTTCTCTCGGCCAGCTCCGACTGAGTGGTTTGACATGGGAAGCTGCCAGTGTGAAACTGGCAGAGTGGCTGGCTTCCTCAAGAATTTCTTTCTTGCCTTCCTGTGTCTGACTCTCCACCCTCTCCCTCACAGCCAGAAGCAGAGGAGGTGAGGGGGACAAAATGCTTTACCTGACGGCCATACACTGGAAGTGGTTTTGGTTTCCTCTGGCTGTGGTGGATGTTCAAATTGACTTTTGCTCTTGTGCGATGTTTGTGTGTCTTTTATAAACTCCCAGTAGCTGAATATCTCTCACTTATACTCTGTAGCCCAAACTTTGAATTATATTATTTTATTTTTTAACTTTTACTTTAGGTTCAGGGGTACATGTGTAGGTTCCTTATATAGGTAAAGTGTGTGTCATGGGGCTTTGGTGTACAGGTAATTTAATCACCCAAGTAACAAGCATAGTACCTGATAGGTCCCACCTTGAATTTGTCTAGGTGTTAGATTGGCCGCAGTTCTCTACCACTTCCTGTTATCTGAGGCCTTTACAGTGTGCCTTGGTGGCTAGTCACTCTCACCAAAAGGTAGAGTTTAGGAGGGCATGGTGGCTCCCACCTGGAATCCCAGCTACTTGGGAGGCTGAGACAAAAGGATCACTTGAACCCAGGAGGTCGAGGCTGCAGTGAACCATCCATGTTCATGCCACTGCACTCTAGCCTGGGCAACAGAGAAAGATCCTGTCTCAAAACAAACAAAAAAACATGGCAAAACCCTGTCTCTACTAAAAATACAGAAATCAGCCGGTGGTGGCATGCACCTGTAATCACAGCTATTGGCTGAGGCATGAGAATGGCTTGAACCTAGGAGGTGGAGGTTGCATTGAGCCGAGATCATGCCACTGCACTCCAGGCTGAGCGATGGAGAGAGACTCTGTCTCAAAAAAAAAAAAAAAAAAAAAGTTTGATAACACACTCAGCTGATGGGGTGGGGAAAGGAAACTGGTACTGTCACACATTGCCGACAGGAAGGAAGGTACACTGGTGCGGCTTCTACAGAAAGCATTTTAAAAATATCTACCCAAATCAAGTATTTACGTATTCTTTGACCTAGCAATTCTACTTCAAAGAACATACATTTACACTAGACATTTTTTTTTTGAGATGGAGTCTTGCTCTAGAGTGCGGTGGCACAATCTCAGCTCACTACAACCTCCGCCTCTGCCTCCCAGGTTCAAGCAGTCTTCCTGCCTCAGTCAGCCTCCTGAGTAGCTGGGATTACAGGTGCGCACCACCACGCACAGCTAATTTTTGTATTTTTTGTAGACAGGGTTTTACCATGTTAGCCCGGCAAGTCTTAAACTCCTGACCTCAAGTGATCCACCTGCCTTGGCCTCCCAAAGTGCTGGGATTATAGGTGTGAACCACCACGCCTGGCCTACACTGGACATTTTTGAGAGTCAAGGGAGCACTATAACAAACAAGGGGTCGGGTGCGGTGGCTCACTCCTATAATCCCAGCACTTTGGGAGGCCAAGGTAGGTGGATCACTTGAGCCCAAGAATTTGAGACTACTCTGGGTAACATATTGAGAGAACTCATCTCCATTAAATTAAATTTAAAAAAAAAAAAAAAAAAAGAGGCTGGGCGTGGTGGCTCAAGCCTGTAATCTCAGCACTTTGGGAGGCCAAGTCAGAAGGATCATGAGGTCAGGAGTTCGAGACCAGCCT